>NC_000018.10:15797855-15914237 GCF_000001405.40 Homo sapiens | reverse complement strand
GCTGTGTGCTTTTTATATGTATTCCCGCTTCCAGCGAAATCCCCAAGCTAGCCAAATATCCACTTGCAGATTCCAGAAAAAGAGTGTTTCAAAACTGCTCCTTCAAAACGGTGGTTCAATTCTCTTAGTTGAGTACACACATCTCAAATAAGTTTCTGAGAATGCTTGTGTCTACTTGTTATGGGAAGATATTTCCTTTTTAAACATAGGCCTGAAAGCGCTCCAAATGTCCACTTCCAGATACTACAAAAGGAGTGATTCCAACCTGCTCTATGATAGGGAATGTTCAACTCTGTGTCTTGAATACAAACATCACAAAGATGTTTCTCAGAACGCTGCAGTCTGCAATTTGTATGAATTCCCGCTTCCAACGAAATCCTCCAAACTAGCCAAATATCCACTTGCAGATTCCACAAAAAGAGCGTTTCAAAACTTCTCTATGAAAAGAAAGGTTCTACTCCTTTAGTTGAGGACACACATCACGAGTAAGTTTCTGAGAATGCTTCTGTCTAGTTTGTATGGGAAGATATTTCCTTTTTCACCTTAGGCCGGAAAGTGCTCCAAATGTCCACTTACACACACTACAAAAAGAGTGTTTCAAACCTGCTCTGTGAAAGGGAATGTTCAATTCTGTGACTTGAATGCAATCATCACAAAGAACTTTCTGAGAATGCTGCTGTCTGCTTTTTATATGTAATCCCGTTTCCAACGAAATCCTCAAATCTAGCCAAATAGCCACTTGCAGATTCCACAAAAAGAGTGTTTCAAAACTGTTCTGTCTAAAGAAATGTTCAACTGTGTTAGTTGAGGACACACATCAGAAACTAGTTTCTGAGAATGCTTCTGTCTAGTTGTTATGGGAAGATATTTCCTTTTCCAACGTAGGCCTGAAAGCGCTCCAAATGTCCACTTCCATATACTAAAAAAAGAGTGTTTCAAACCTGCTCTACCAAAGGGAATGTTCTACTCTGTGACTTGAATGCAAACATCCCAAAGAAGTTTCTGAGAATGCTTCTGTCTAGATTTTCTCTGAAGACAATCCCGTTTCCAACGAAATCCTCAAGGCTAGGCAAATATACTCTTGCAGATTCCAGAAAAAGAGTGTTTCAAAACTGCTCCTTCAAAACGGTGGTTCAATTCTCTTAGTTGAGTACACACATCTCAAATAAGTTTCTGAGAATGCTTCTGCCTAGTTGTTACGGGAAGATATTTCCCTTTCCAACATGGGCCTGAAAGCGCTCCAAATGTCCACTTCCAGATACTACAAAAAGAGTGTTTCAAACCTGCTCTACCAAAGGGAATGTTCTACTCTGTGACTTGAATGCAAACATCCCAAAGAAGTTTCTGAGAATGCTTCTGTCTAGATTTTACCTGAAGACAATCCCGTTTCCCACGAAATCCTCAAAGCTATGCAAATATCCTCTTGCAGATTCTACAAAAAGAGTGTTTCAAAACTGCTCTATGAAAAGAAAGGTTCAACTCTGTCAGTAGAGGGCACACATCACAAACAAGTTTCTGAGAATGCTTGTGTCTAGTTGTTATGGGAAGATATTTCCTTTTTCAACATAGGCCTGAAAGCGCTCCAAATGTCCACTTCCAGATACTACAAAAGGAGTGATTCCAACCTGCTCTATGATAGGGAATGTTCAACTCTGTGTCCTGAATACAAACATCACAAAGATATTTCTCAGAACGCTGCAGTCTGCAATTTGTATGAATTCCCGCTTCCAACGAAATCCTCAAAACTAGCCAAATATCCACTTGCAGATTCCACAAAAAGAGCGTTTCAAAACTTCTCTATGAAAAGAACGGTTCTACACCTTTAGTTGAGGACACACATCACGAGTAAGTTTCTGAGAATGCTTCTGTCTATTTTTTATGGGAAGATATTTCCTTTTTCACCTTAGGCTGGAAAGTGCTCCAAATGTCCACTTACACACACTACAAAAAGAGTGTTTCAAACCTGCTCTGTGAAAGGGAATGTTCAATTCTGTGACTTGAATGCAATCATCACAAAGAACTTTCTGAGAATGCTGCTGTCAGCTTTTTATATGTAATCCCGTTTCCAAAGAAATCCTCAAATCTAGCCAAATAGCCACTTGCAGATTCCACAAAAAGAGTGTTTCAAAACTGTTCTGTCTAAAGAAATGTTCAACTGTGTTAGTTGAGGACACACATCAGAAACTAGTTTCTGAGAATGCTTCTGTCTAGTTGTTATGGGAAGATATTTCCTTTTCCAACGTAGGCCTGAAAGCGCTCCAAATGTCCACTTCCATATACTAAAAAAAGAGTGTTTCAAACCTGCTCTAACAAAGGGAATGTTCTACTCTATGAATTGAATGCAAACACCCAAAGAAGTTTCTGAGAATGCTTCTGTCTAGATTTTATCTGAAGACAATCCCGTTTCCAACGAAATCCTCAAAGCTAGGCAAATATACTCTTGCAGATTCCAGAAAAAGAGTGTTTCAAAACTGCTCCTTGAAAAGGGTGGTTCAATTCTCTTAGTTGAGTACACCCATCTCAAATAAGTTTCTGAGAATGCTTCTGCCTAGTTGTTACGGGAAGATATTTCCCTTTCCAACATAGGCCTGAAAGCGCTCCAAATGTCCACTTCCAGATACTACAAAAAGTGTGTTTCAAACCTGCTCTACCAAAGGGAATGTTCTACTCTGTGACTTGAATAGAAACATCCCAAAGAAGTTTCTGAGAATGCTTCTGTCTAGATTTTCTCTGAAGACAATCCGGTTTCCAACGAAATCCTCAAGGCTAGGCAAATATACTCTTGCAGATTCCAGAAAAAGAGTGTTTCAAAACTGGTCCTTCAAAACGGTGGTTCAATTCTCTTAGTTGAGTACACACATCTCAAATAAGTTTCTGAGAATGCTTCTGCCTAGTTGTTAAGGGAAGATATTTCCCTTTCCAACATAGGCCTGAAAGCGCTCCAAATGTCCACTTCCAGATACTACAAAAAGAGTGTTTCAAACCTGCTCTACCAAAGGGAATGTTCTACTCTGTGACTTGAATGCAAACATCCCAAAGAAGTTTCTGAGAATGCTTCTGTCTAGATTTTATCTGAAGACAATCCCGTTTCCAACGAAATCCTCAAGGCTAGGCAAATATACTCTTGCAGATTCCAGAAAAAGAGTGTTTCAAAACTGCTCCTTCAAAACGGTGGTTCAATTCTCTTAGTTGAGTACACACATCTCAAATAAGTTTCTGAGAATGCTTCTGCCTAGTTGTTACGGGAAGATATTTCCCTTTCCAACATGGGCCTGAAAGCGCTCCAAATGTCCACTTCCAGATACTACAAAAAGAGTGTTTCAAACCTGCTCTACCAAAGGGAATGTTCTACTCTGTGACTTGAATGCAAACATCCCAAAGAAGTTTCTGAGAATGCTTCTGTCTAGATTTTACCTGAAGACAATCCCGTTTCCCACGAAATCCTCAAAGCTATGCAAATATCCTCTTGCGGATTCTACAAAAAGAGTGTTTCAAAACTGCTCTATGAAAAGAAAGGTTCAACTCTGTCAGTGGAGGGCACACATCACAAACAAGTTTCTGAGAACGCTTGTGTCTAGTTGTTATGGGAAGATATTTCCTTTTTCAACATAGGCCTGAAAGCGCTCCAAATGTCCACTTCCAGATACTACAAAAGGAGTGATTCCATCATGCTCTATGATAGGGAATGTTCATCTCTGTGTCTTGAATACAAACATCACAAAGATGTTTCTCAGAACGCTGCAGTCTGCATCTTGTATGAATTCCCGCTTCCAACGAAATCCTCCAAACTAGCCAAATATCCACTTGCAGATTCCACAAAAAGAGCGTTTCAAAACTTCTCTATGGAAAGAAAGGTTCTACTCCTTTAGTTGAGGACACACATCACGAGTAAGTTTCTGAGAATGCTTCTGTCTAGTTTTTATGGGAAGATATTTCCTTGTTCACCTTAGGCCGGAAAGCGCTCCAAATGTCCACTTACACACACTACAAAAAGAGTGTTTCAAACCTGCTCTGTGAAAGGGAATGTTCAATTCTGTGACTTGAATGCAATCATCACAAAGAAGTTTCTGAGAATGCTGCTGTCTGCTTTTTATATGTAATCCCGTTTCCAACGAAATCCTCAAATCTAGCCAAATATCCACTTGCAGATTCCACAAAAAGAGTGTTTCAAAACTGTTCTGTCTAAAGAAATGTTCAACTGTGTTAGTTGAGGACACACATCAGAAACTAGTTTCTGAGAATGCTTCTGTCTAGTTGTTATGGGAAGATATTTCCTTTTCCAACGTAGGCCTGAAAGCGCTCCAAATGTCCACTTCCATATACTAAAAAAAGAGTGTTTCAAACCTGCTCTACCAAAGGAATGTTCTACTCTGTGACTTGAATGCAAACATCCCAAAGAAGTTTCTGAGAATGCTTCTGTCTAGATTTGATCTGAAGACAATCCCTTTTCCAACGAAATCCTCAAAGCTAGGCAAATATCCTCTTGCAGATTCCAGAAAAAGAGTGTTTCCAAACTGCTCCTTCAAAACGGTGGTTCAATTCTCTTAGTTGAGTACACACATCTCAAATAAGTTTCTGAGAATGCTTCTGCCTAGTTGTTACGGGAAGATATTTCCCTTTCCAACAT
This sequence comes from Homo sapiens, assembly GCF_000001405.40. Lineage (NCBI taxonomy): Eukaryota > Metazoa > Chordata > Mammalia > Primates > Hominidae > Homo > Homo sapiens. Next base: position 15,909,610 of record NC_000018.10, on the reverse strand, counting down.
AGGCCTGAAAGCGCAACAAATGTCCACTTCCAGATACGACAAAAAGAGTGTTTCAAACCTGCTCTACCAAAGGGAATGTTCTACTCTGTGACTTGAATGCAAACATCCCGAAGAAGTTTCTGAGAATGCTTCTGTCTAGATTTTACCTGAAGACAATCCCGTTTCCCACGAAATCCTCAGAGCTATGCAAATATCCTCTTGCAGATTCTACAAAAAGAGTGTTTCGAAACTGCTCTATGAAAAGAAAGGTTCAACTCTGTCAGTAGAGGAAACACATCACAAACAAGTTTCTGAGAATGCTTCTGTCTAGTTGTTATGGGAAGATTTTTCCTTTTTCAACATAGGCCTGAAAGCGCTCCAAATGTCCACTTCCAGATACTACAAAAGGAGTGATCCCAACCTGCTCTATGATAGGGAATGTTCAACTCTGTGTCCTGAATACAAACATCACAAAGATGTTTCTCAGAACGCTGCAGTCTGCAATTTGTATGAATTCCCGCTTCCAACGAAATCCTCAAAACTAGCCAAATATCCACTTGCAGATTCCACAAAAAGAGCATTTCAAAACTGCTCTATCAAAAGAAAGGTTCAACTTTGTTAGTTGAGCAGATACAGCATAAACAAGTTTCTGAGAATGCTTCTGTCCAGTTTTTATGGGAAGATATTTCCTTTTTCACCTTAGCCCTGAAAGCGCTCCAAATTTCCAGTTCCAGATACTACAAAAGGGGTGTTTCAAGACTGCTCTATGAAAGGGAGTGTTCAACTTTTGACTTGAATGCAAACATCAGAAAGCAGTTTCTCAGAACGCTGCTGTGTGCTTTTTATATGTATTCCCGCTTCCAGCGAAATCCCCAAAGCTAGCCAAATATCCACTTGCAGATTCCAGAAAAAGAGTGTTTCCAAACTGCTCCTTCAAAACGGTGGTTCAATTCTCTTAGTTGAGTACACACATCTCAAATAAGTTTCTGGGAATGCTTTTGTCTAGCTGTTATGGGAAGATATTTCCTTTTCCAACATAGGCCTGAAAGCGCTCCAAATGTCCACTTCCAGATACGACAAAAGGAGTGATTCCAACCTGCTCTATGGTAGGGAATGTTCAACTCTGTGTCCTGAATACAAACATCACAAAGATGTTTCTCAGAACGCTGCAGTCTGCATCTTGTATGAATTCCCGCTTCCAACGAAATCCTCAAAACTAGCCAAATATCCACTTGCAGATTCCACAAAAAGAGCGTTTCAAAACTTCTCTATGAAAAGAAAGGTTCTACTCCTTTAGTTGAGGACACACATCACGAGTAAGTTTCTGAGAATGCTTCTGTCTAGTTTTTATGGGAAGATATGTCCTTTTTCACCTTAGGCCGGAAAGCGCTCCAAATGTCCACTTACACACACTACAAAAAGAGTGTTTCAAACCTGCTCTGTGAAAGGGAATGTTCAATTCTGTGACTTGAATGCAATCATCACAAAGAACTTTCTGAGAATGCTGCTGTCTGCTTTTTATATGTAATCCCGTTTCCAACGAAATCCTCAAATCTAGCCAAATATCCACTTGCAGATTCCACAAAAAGAGTGTTTCAAAACTGTTCTGTCTAAAGAAAAGTTCAACTGTGTTAGTTGAGGACACACATCAGAAACTAGTTTCTGAGAATGCTTCTGTCTAGTTGTTATGGGAAGATATTTCCTTTTCCAACGTAGGCCTGAAAGCGCTCCAAATGTCCACTTCCATATACTAAAAAAAGAGTGTTTCAAACCTGCTCTACCAAAGGGAATGTTCTACTCTGTGACTTGAATGCAAACATCCCAAAGAAGTTTCTGAGAATGCGTCTGTCTAGATTTTATCTGAAGACAATCCCGTTTCCAACGAAATCTTCAAGGCTAGGCAAATATACTCTTGCAGTTTCCAGAAAAAGAGTGTTTCAAAACTGCTCCTTCAAAACGGTGGTTCAATTCTCTTAGTTGAGTACACACATCTCAAATAAGTTTCTGAGAATGCTTCTGCCTAGTTGTTACGGGAAGATATTTCCCTTTCCAACATGGGCCTGAAAGCGCTCCAAATGTCCACTTCCAGATACTACAAAAAGAGGGTTTCAAACCTGCTCTACCAAAGGGAATGTTCTACTCTGTGACTTGAATGCAAACATCCCAAAGAAGTTTCTGAGAATGCTTCTGTCTAGATTTTACCTGAAGACAATCCCGTTTCCCACGAAATCCTCAAAGCTATGCAAATATCCTCTTGCAGATTCTACAAAAAGAGTGTTTCAAAACTGCTCTATGAAAAGAAAGGTTCAACTCTGTCAGCAGAGGGCACACATCACAAACAAGTTTCTGAGAATGCTTGTGTCTAGTTGTTATGGGAAGATATTTCCTTTTTCAACATAGGCCTGAAAGCGCTCCAAATGTCCACTTCCAGATACTACAAAAGGAGTGATTCCAACCTGCTCTATGATAGGTAATGTTCATCTCTGTGTCCTGAATACAAACATCACAAAGATGTTTCTCAGAACGCTGCAGTCTGCAATTTGTATGAATTCCCACTTCCAACGAAATCCTCAAAACTAGCCAAATATCCACTTGCAGATTCCACAAAAAGAGCATTTCAAAACTGCTCTATCAAAAGAAAGGTTCAACTTTGTTAGTTGAGTAGATACAGCATAAACAAGTTTCTGAGAATGCTTCTGTCCAGTTTTTATGGGAAGATATTTCCTTTTTCACCTTAGCCCTGAAAGCGCTCCAAAAGTCCAGTTCCAGATACTACAAAAGGAGTGTTTCAGGACTGCTCTATGAAAGGGAGTGTTCAACTTTTGACTTGAATGCAAACATCAGAAAGCAGTTTCTCAGAACGCTGCTGTGTGCTTTTTATATGTATTCCCGCTTCCAGCGAAATCCCCAAAGCTAGCCAAATATCCACTTGCAGATTCCAGAAAAAGAGTGTTTCAAAACTGCTCCTTCAAAACGGTGGTTCAATTCTCTTAGTTGAGTACACACATCTCAAATAAGTTTCTGAGAATGCTTCTGTCTAGTTGTTATGGGAAGATATTTCCTTTTCCAACATAGGCCTGAAAGCGCTCCAAATGTCCACTTCCAGATACTACAAAAGGAGTGATTCCAACCTGCTCTATGATAGGGAATGTTCAACTCTGTGTCCTGAATACAAACATCACAAAGATGTTTCTCAGAACGCTGCAGTCTGCAATTTGTATGAATTCCCGCTTCCAACGAAATCCTCCAAACTAGCCAAATATCCACTTGCAGATTCCACAAAAAGAGCGTTTCAAAACTTCTCTATGAAAAGAAAGGTTCTACTCCTTTAGTTGAGGACACACATCACGAGTAAGTTTCTGAGAATGCTTCTGTCTAGTTTTTATGGGAAGATATTTCCTTTTTTACCTTAGGCCGGAAAGTGCTCCAAATGTCCACTTACACACACTACAAAAAGAGTGTTTCAAACCTGCTCTGTGAAAGGGAATGTTCAATTCTGTGACTTGAATGCAATCATCACAAAGAACTTTCTGAGAATGCTGCTGTCTGCTTTTTATATGTAATCCCGTTTCCAACGAAATCCTCAAATCTAGCCAAATAGCCACTTGCAGATTCCACAAAAAGAGTGTTTCAAAACTGTTCTGTCTAAAGAAATGTTCAACTGTGTTAGTTGAGGACACACATCAGAAACTAGTTTCTGAGAATGCTTCTGTCTAGTTGTTATGGGAAGATATTTCCTTTTCCAACGTAGGCCTGAAAGCACTCCAAATGTCCACTTCCATATACTAAAAAAAGAGTGTTTCAAACCTGCTCTACCAAAGGGAATGTTCTACTCTGTGACTTGAATGCAAACATCCCAAAGAAGTTTTTGAGAATGCTTCTGTCTAGATTTTATCGGAATACAATCCCGTTTCCAACGAAATCCTCAAGGCTAGGCAAATATACTCTTGCAGATTCCAAAAAAAGAGTGTTTCAAAACTGCTCCTTCAAAACGGTGGTTCAATTCTCTTAGTTGAGTACACACATCTCAAATAAGTTTCTGAGAATGCTTCTGCCTAGTTGTTACAGGAAGATATTTCCTTTTCCAACATGGGCCTGAAAGCGCTCCAAATGTCCACTTCCAGATACTACAAAAAGAGTGTTTCAAACCTACTCTACCAAAGGGAATGTTCTACTCTGTGACTTGAATGCAAACATCCCAAAGAAGTTTCTGAGAATGCTTCTGTCTAGATTTTACCTGAAGACAATCCCGTTTCCCACGAAATCCTCAAAGCTATGCAAATATCCTCTTGCAGATTCTACAAAAAGAGTGTTTCAAAACTGCTCTATGAAAAGAAAGGTTCAACTCTGTCAGTAGAGGGCACACATCACAAACAAGTTTCTGAGAATGCTTCTGCATAGTTGTTACGGGAAGATATTTCCCTTTCCAAAATAGGCCTGAAAGCGCTCCAAATGTCCACTTCCAGATACTACAAAAGGAGTGATTCCAACCTGCTCTATGATAGGGAATGTTCAACTCTGTGTCCTGAATACAAACATCACAAAGATGTTTCTCAGAACGCTGCAGTCTGCAATTTGTATGAATTCCCGCTTCCAACGAAATCCTCAAAACTAGCCAAATATCCACTTGCAGATTCCACAAAAAGACCATTTCAAAACTGCTCTATCAAAAGAAAGGTTCAACTTTGTTAGTTGAGTAGATACAGCATAACCAAGTTTCTGAGAATGCTTCTGTCCAGTTTTTATGGGAAGATATTTCCTTTTTCACCTTAGCCCTGAAATCGCTCCAAAAGTCCAGTTCCAGATACTACAAAAGGGGTGTTTCAAGACTGCTCTATGAAAGGGAGTGTTCAACTTTTGACTTGAATGCAAACATCAGAAAGCAGTTTCTCAGAACGCTGCTGTGTGCTTTTTATATGTATTCCCGCTTCCAGCGAAATCCCCAAAGCTAGCCAAATATCCACTTGCAGATTCCAGAAAAAGAGAGTTTCAAAACTGCTCCTTCAAAACGGTGGTTCAATTCTCTTAGTTGAGTACACACATCTCAAATAAGTTTCTGAGAATGCTTCTGTCTAGTTGTTATGGGAAGATATTTCCTTTTCCAACATAGGCCTGAAAGCGCTCCAAATGTCCACTTCCAGATACTACAAAAGGAGTGATTCCAACCTGCTCTATGATAGGGAATGTTCAACTCTGTGTCCTGAATACAAACATCACAAAGATGTTTCTCAGAACGCTGCAGTCTGCAATTTGTATGAATTCCCGCTTCCAACGAAATCCTCAAAACTAGCCAAATATCCACTTGCAGATTCCACAAAAAGAGCGTTTCAAAACTTCTCTATGAAAAGAAAGGTTCTACTCCTTTAGTTGAGGACACACATCACGAGTAAGTTTCTGAGAATGCTTCTGTCTAGTTTTTATGGGAAGATATTTCCTTTTTCACCTTAGGCCGGAAAGCGCTCCAAATGTCCACTTACACACACTACAAAAAGAGTGTTTCAAACCTGCTCTGTGAAAGGGAATGTTCAATTCTGTGACTTGAATGCAATCATCACAAAGAACTTTCTGAGAATGCTGCTGTCTGCTTTTTATATGTAATCCCGTTTCCAACGAAATCCTCAAATCTAGCCAAATATCCACTTGCAGATTCCACAAAAAGAGTGTTTCAAAACTGTTCTGTCTAAAGAAAAGTTCAACTGTGTTAGTTGAGGACACACATCAGAAACAAGTTTCTGAGAATGCTTCTGTCTAGTTGTTATGGGAAGATATTTCCTTTTCCAACGTAGGCCTGAAAGCGCTCCAAATGTCCATTTCCATATACTAAAAAAAGAGTGTTTCAAACCTGCTCTACCAAAGGGAATGTTCTACTCTGTGACTTGAATACAAACATCCCAAAGAAGTTTCTGAGAATGCTTCTGTCTAGATTTTATCTGAAGACAATCCCGTTTCCAACGAAATCCTCAAGGCTAGGCAAATATACTCTTGCAGATTCCAGAAAAAGAGGGTTTCAAAACTGCTCCTTCAAAACGGTGGTTCAATTCTCTTAGTTGAGTACACACATCTCAAATAAGTTTCTGAGAATGCTTCTGCCTAGTTGTTACGGGAAGATATTTCCCTTTCCAACATAGGCCTGAAAGCGCTCCAAATGTCCACTTCCAGATAGTACAAAAAGAGTGTTTCAAACCTGCTCTACCAAAGGGAATGTTCTACTCTGTGACTTGAATGCAAACATCCCAAAGAAGTTTCTGAGAATGCTTCTGTCTAGATTTTACCTGAAGACAATCCCGTTTCCCACGAAATCCTCAAAGCTATGCAAATATCCTCTTGCAGATTCTACAAAAAGAGTGTTTCAAAACTGCTCTATGAAAAGAAAGGTTCAACTCTGTCAGTAGAGGGCACACATCACAAACAAGTTTCTGAGAATGCTTGTGTCTAGTTGTTATGGGAAGATATTTCCTTTTTCAACATAGGCCTGAAAGCGCTCCAAATGTCCACTTCCAGATACTACAAAAGGAGTGATTCCAACCTGCTCTATGATAGGGAATGTTCAACTCTCTGTCCTGAATACAAACATCACAAAGATGTTTCTCAGAACGCTGCAGTCTGCAATTTGTATGAATTCCCGCTTCCAACGAAATCCTCAAAACTAGCCAAATATCCACTTGCAGATTCCACAAAAAGACCATTTCAAAACTGCTCTATCAAAAGAAAGGTTCAACTTTGTTAGTTGAGTAGATACAGCGTAAACAAGTTTCTGAGAATGCTTCTGTCCAGTTTTTATGGGAAGATATTTCCTTTTTCACCTTAGCCCTGAAATCGCTCCAAAAGTCCAGTTCCAGATACTACAAAAGGGGTGTTTCAAGACTGCTCTATGAAAGGGAGTGTTCAACTTTTGACTTGAATGCAAACATCAGAAAGCAGTTTCTCAGAACGCTGCTGTGTGCTTTTTATATGTATTCCCGCTTCCAGCGAAATCCCCAAAGCTAGCCAAATATCCACTTGCAGATTCCAGAAAAAGAGAGTTTCAAAACTGCTCCTTCAAAACGGTGGTTCAATTCTCTTAGTTGAGTACACACATCTCAAATAAGTTTCTGAGAATGCTTCTGTGTAGCTGTTATGGGAGGATATTTCCTTTTCCAACATAGGCCTGAAAGCGCTCCAAACGTCCACTTCCAGATACGACAAAAGGAGTGATTCCAACCTGCTCTATGATAGGGAATGTTCAACTCTGTGTCCTGAATACAAACATCACAAAGATGTTTCTCAGAACGCTGCAGTCTGCAATTTGTATGAATTCCCGCTTCCAACGAAATCCTCAAAACTAGCCAAATATCCACTTGCAGATTCCACAAAAAGAGCGTTTCAAAACTTCTCTATGAAAAGAAAGTTTCTACTCCTTTACTTGAGTACACACATCATGAGTAAGTTTCTGAGAATGCTTCTGTCTAGTTTTTATGGGAAGATATTTCCTTTTTCACCTTAGGCCGGAAAGTGCTCCAAATGTCCACTTACACACACTACAAAAAGAGTGTTTCAAACCTGCTCTGTGAAAGGGAATGTTCAATTCTGTGACTTGAATGCAATCATCACAAAGAACTTTCTGAGAATGCTGCTGTCTGCTTTTTATATGTAATCCCCTTTCCAACGAAATCCTCAAATCTAGCCAAATAGCCACTTGCAGATTCCACAAAAAGAGTGTTTCAAAACTGTTCTGTCTAAAGAAATGTTCAACTGTGTTAGTTGAGGACACACATCAGAAACTAGTTTCTGAGAATGCTTCTGTCTAGTTGTTATGGGAAGATATTTCCTTTTCCAACGTAGGCCGGAAAGCGCTCCAAATGTCCACTTCCATATACTAAAAAAAGAGGGCTTCAAACCTGCTCTACCAAAGGGAATGTTCTACTCTGTGACTTGAATGCAAACATCCCAAAGAAGTTTCTGAGAATGCTTCTGTCTAGATTTGATCTGAAGACAATCCCGTTTCCAACGAAATCCTCAAGGCTAGGCAAATATCCTCTTGCAGATTCCAGAAAAAGAGTGTTTCAAAACTGCTCCTTCAAAACGGTGGTTCAATTCTCTTAGTTGAGTACACACATCTCAAATAAGTTTCTGAGAATGCTTCTGCCTAGTTGTTACGGGAAGATATTTCCCTTTCCAACATGGGCCTGAAAGCGCTCCAAATGTCCACTTCCAGATACTACAAAAAGAGTGTTTCAAACCTGCTCTACCAAAGGGAATGTTCTACTCTGTGACTTGAATGCAAACATCCCAAAGAAGTTTCTGAGAATGCTTCTGTCTAGATTTTACCTGAAGACAATCCCGTTTCCCACGAAATCCTCAAAGCTATGCTAATATCCTCTTGCAGATTCTACAAAAAGAGTGTTTCAAAACTGCTCTATGAAAAGAAAGGTTCAACTCTGTCAGTAGAGGGCACACATCACAAACAAGTTTCTGAGAATGCTTGTGTCTAGTTGTTATGGGAAGATATTTCCTTTTTCAACATAGGCCTGAAAGCGCTCCAAATGTCCACTTCCAGATACTACAAAAGGAGTGATTCCAACCTGCTCTATGATAGGGAATGTTCAACTCTCTGTCCTGAATACAAACATCACAAAGATGTTTCTCAGAACGCTGCAGTCTGCAATTTGTATGAATTCCCGCTTCCAACGAAATCCTCAAAACTAGCCAAATATCCACTTGCAGATTCCACAAAAAGAGCATTTCAAAACTGCTCTATCAAAAGAAAGGTTCAACTTTGTTAGTTGAGTAGATACAGCATAAACAAGTTTCTGAGAATGCTTCTGTCCAGTTTTTATGGGAAGATATTTCCTTTTTCACCTTAGCCCTGAAAGCGCTCCAAAAGTCCAGTTCCAGATACTACAAAAGGGGTGTTTCAAGACTGCTCTATGAAAGGGAGTGTTCAACTTTTGACTTGAATGCAAACATCAGAAAGCAGTTTCTCAGAACGCTGCTGTGTGCTTTTTATATGTATTCCCGCTTCCAGCGAAATCCCCAAAGCTAGCCAAATATCCACTTGCAGATTCCAGAAAAAGAGTGTTTCAAAACTGCTCCTTCAAAACGGTGGTTCAATTCTCTTAGTTGAGTACACACATCTCAAATAAGTTTCTGAGAATGCTTGTGTCTAGTTGTTATGGGAAGATATTTCCTTTTTCAACATAGGCCTGAAAGCGCTCCAAATGTCCACTTCCAGATACTACAAAAGGAGTGATTCCAACCTGCTCTATGATAGGGAATGTTCAACTCTCTGTCCTGAATACAAACATCACAAAGATGTTTCTCAGAACGCTGAGGTCTGCAATTTGTATGAATTCCCGCTTCCAACGAAATCCTCAAAACTAGCCAAATATCCACTTGCAGATTCCACAAAAAGAGCATTTCAAAACTGCTCTATCAAAAGAAAGGTTCAACTTTGTTAGTTGAGTAGATACAGCATAAACAAGTTTCTGAGAATGCTTCTGTCCAGTTTTTATGGGAAGATATTTCCTTTTTCACCTTAGCCCTGAAAGCGCTCCAAAAGTCCAGTTCCAGATACTACAAAAGGGGTGTTTCAGGACTGCTCTATGAAAGGGAGTGTTCAACTTTTGACTTGAATGCAAACATCAGAAAGCAGTTTCTCAGAACGCTGCTGTGTGCTTTTTATATGTATTCCCGCTTCCAGCGAAATCCCCAAAGCTAGCCAAATATCCACTTGCAGATTCCAGAAAAAGAGTGTTTCAAAACTGCTCCTTCAAAACGGTGGTTCAATTCTCTTAGTTGAGTACACACATCTCAAATAAGTTTCTGAGAATGCTTCTGTCTAGTTTTTGTGGGAAGATATTTCCTTTTTCACCTTAGCCCTGAAAGCGCCCCAAATGTCCACTTCCAGATAGTACAAAAGGGGTGTTTCAAGCCTGCTCTATGAAAGGGAGTGTTCAACTTTTGACTTGAATGCAAGCAGCAGAAAGCCGTTTCTCAGAACGCTGCAGTCTGCAATTTGTATCAATTCCCGCTTCCAACGAAATCCTCAAAACTAGCCAAATATCCACTTGCAGATTCCACAAAAAGAGCGTTTCAAAACTTCTCTATGAAAAGAAAGGTTCTACACCTTTAGTTGAGGACACACATCACGAGTAAGTTTCTGAGAATGCTTCTGTCTAGTTTTTATGGGAAGATATTTCCTTTTTCACCTTAGGCCGGAAAGTGCTCCAAATGTCCACTTACACACACTACAAAAAGAGTGTTTCAAACCTGCTCTGTGAAAGGGAATGTTCAATTCTGTGACTTGAATGCAATCATCACAAAGAACTTTCTGAGAATGCTGCTGTCTGCTTTTTATATGTAATCCCGTTTCCAACGAAATCCTCAAATCTAGCCAAATAGCCACTTGCAGATTCCACAAAAAGAGTGTTTCAAAACTGTTCTGTCTAAAGAAATGTTCAACTGTGTTAGTTGAGGACACACATCAGAAACTAGTTTCTGAGAATGCTTCTGTCTAGTTGTTATGGGAAGATATCTCCTTTTCCAACGTAGGCCTGAAAGCGCTCCAAATGTCCACTTCCATATACTAAAAAAAGAGTGTTTCAAACCTGCTCTACCAAAGGGAATGTTCTACTCTGTGACTTGAATGCAAACATCCCAAAGAAGTTTCTGAGAATGCTTCTGTCTAGATTTTATCTGAAGACAATCCCGTTTCCAACGAAATCCTCAAGGCTAGGCAAATATCGTCTAGCAGATTCCAGAAAAAGAGTGTTTCAAAACTGCTCCTTCAAAACGGTGGTTCAATTCTCTTAGTTGAGTACACACATCTCAAATAAGTTTCTGAGAATGCTTCTGCCTAGTTGTTACGGGAAGATATTTCCCTTTCCAACATAGGCCTGAAAGCGCTCCAAATGTCCACTTCCAGATACTACAAAAAGAGTGTTTCAAACCTGCTCTACCAAAGGGAATGTTCTACTCTGTGACTTGAATGCAAACATCCCGAAAAATTTTCTGAGAATGCTTCTGTCTAGATTTTACCTGAAGTCAATCCCGTTTCCCACAAAATCCTCAAAGCTATGCAAATATCCTCTTGCAGATTCTACAAAAAGAGTGTTTCGAAAGTGCTCTATGAAAAGAAAGGTTCAACTGTGTCAGTAGAGGGCACACATCACAAACAAGTTTCTGAGAATGCCTCTGCCTAGTTTTTATGGGAAGATATTTCCTTTTTCACCTGAGGCCGGAAAGCGCTCCAAATGTCCACTTCCAGATACTACAAAAGGAGTGATTCAAACCTGCTCTATGATAGGGAATGTTCAACTCTGTGTCCTGAATACAAACATCACAAAGATGTTTCTCAGAACGCTGCAGTCTGCAATTTGTATGAATTCCCGCTTCCAACGAAATCCTCAAAACTAGCCAAATATCCACTTGCAGATTCCACAAAAAGACCATTTCAAAACTGCTCTATCAAAAGAAAGGTTCAACTTTGTTAGTTGAGTAGATACAGCATAAACAAGTTTCTGAGAATGCTTCTGTCCAGTTTTTATGGGAAGATATTTCCTTTTTCACCTTAGCCCTGAAATCGCTCCAAAAGTCCAGTTCCAGATACTACAAAACGGGTGTTTCAAGACTGCTCTATGAAAGGGAGTGTTCAAATTTTGACTTGAATGCAAACATCAGAAAGCAGTTTCTCAGAACGCTGCTGTGTGCTTTTTATATGTATTCCCGCTTCCAGCGAAATCCCCAAAGCTAGCCAAATATCCACTTGCAGATTCCAGAAAAAGAGTGTTTCAAAACTGCTCCTTCAAAACGGTGGTTCAATTCTCTTAGTTGAGTACACACATCTCAAATAAGTTTCTGAGAATGCTTCTGTCTAGTTGTTATGGGAAGATATTTCCTTTTCCAACATAGGCCTGAAAGCGCTCCAAATGTCCACTTCCAGATACTACAAAAGGAGTGATTCCAACCTGCTCTATGATAGGGAATGTTCAACTCTGTGTCCTGAATACAAACATCACAAAGATGTTTCTCAGAACGCTGCAGTCTGCAATTTGTATGAATTCCCGCTTCCAACGAAATCCTCCAAACTAGCCAAATATCCACTTGCAGATTCCACAAAAAGAGCGTTTCAAAACTTCTCTATGAAAAGAAAGGTTCTACTCCTTTAGTTGAGGACACACATCACGAGTAAGTTTCTGAGAATGCTTCTGTCTAGTTTTTATGGGAAGATATTTCCTTTTTCACCTTAGGCTGGAAAGTGCTCCAAATGTCCACTTACACACACTACAAAAAGAGTGTTTCAAACCTGCTCTGTGAAAGGGAATGTTCAATTCTGTGACTTGAATGTAATCATCACAAAGAACGTTCTGAGAATGCTGCTGTCTGCTTTTTATATGTAATCCCGTTTCCAACGAAATCCTCAAATCTAGCCAAATAGCCACTTGCAGATTCCACAAAAAGAGAGTTTCAAAACTGTTCTGTCTAAAGAAATGTTCAACTGTGTTAGTTGAGGACACACATCAGAAACTAGTTTCTGAGAATGCTTCTGTCTAGTTGTTATGGGAAGATATTTCCTTTTCCAACGTAGGCCTGAAAGCGCTCCAAATGTCCACTTCCATATACTAAAAAAAGAGTGTTTCAAACCTGCTCTACCAAAGGGAATGTTCTACTCTGTGACTTGAATGCAAACATCCCAAAGAAGTTTCTGAGAATGCTTCTGTCTAGATTTGATCTGAACACAATCCCGTTTCCAACGAAATCCTCAAAGCTAGGCAAATATCCTCTTGCAGATTCCAGAAAAAGAGTGTTTCAAAACTGCTCCTTCAAAACGGTGGTTCAATTCTCTTAGTTGAGTACACACATCTCAAATAAGTTTCTGAGAATGCTTCTGCCTAGTTGTTACGGGAAGATATTTCCCTTTCCAACATAGGCCTGAAAGCGCAACAAATGTCCACTTCCAGATACGACAAAAAGAGTGTTTCAAACCTGCTCTACCAAAGGGAATGTTCTACTCTGTGACTTGAATGCAAACATCCTGAAGAAGTTTCTGAGAATGCTTCTGTCTAGATTTTACCTGAAGACAATCCCGTTTCCCACGAAATCCTCAAAGCTATGCAAATATCCTCTTGCAAATTCTACAAAAAGAGTGTTTCGAAAGTGCTCTATGAAAAGAAAGGTTCAACTGTGTCAGTAGAGGGCACACATCACAAACAAGTTTCTGAGAATGCCTCTGTCTAGTTGTTATGGGAAGATATTTCCTTTTTCAACATATGCCTGAAAGCGCTAGAAATGTCCACTTCCAGATACTACAAAAGGAGTGATTCCAACCTGCTCTATGATAGGGAATGTTCAACTCTGTGTCCTGAATACAAACATCACAAAGATGTTTCTCAGAACGCTGCAGTCTGCAATTTGTATGAATTCCCGCTTCCAACGAAATCCTCAAAACTAGCCAAATATCCACTTGCAGATTCCACAAAAAGAGCGTTTCAAAACTTCTCTATGAAAAGAAAGGTTCTACTCCTTTAGTTGAGGACACACATCACGAGTAAGTTTCTGAGAATGCTTCTGTCTAGTTTTTATGGGAAGATATTTCCTTTTTCACCTTAGGCCGGTAAGTGCTCCAAATGTCCACTTACACACACTACAAAAAGAGTGTTTCAAACCTGCTCTGTGAAAGGGAATGTTCAATTCTGTGACTTGAATGCAATCATCACAAAGAACTTTCTGAGAATGCTGCTGACTGCTTTTTATATGTAATCCCGTTTCCAACGAAATCCTCAAATCTAGCCAAATAGCCACTTGCAGATTCCACAAAAAGAGTGTTTCAAAACTGTTCTGTCTAAAGAAATGTTCAACTGTGTTAGTTGAGGACACACATCAGAAACTAGTTTCTGAGAATGCTTCTGTCTAGTTGTTATGGGAAGATATTTCCTTTTCCAACGTAGGCCTGAAAGCGCTCCAAATGTCCACTTCCATATACTAAAAAAAGAGTGTTTCAAACCTGCTCTACCAAAGGGAATGTTCTACTCTGTGACTTGAATGCAAACATCCCAAAGAAGTTTCTGAGAATGCTTCTGTCTAGATTTTCTCTGAAGACAATCCCGTTTCCAACGAAATCCTCAAGGCTAGGCAAATATACTCTTGCAGATTCCAGAAAAAGAGTGTTTCAAAACTGCTCCTTCAAAACGGTGGTTCAATTCTCTTAGTTGAGTACACACATCTCAAATAAGTTTCTGAGAATGCTTCTGCCTAGTTGTTACGGGAAGATATTTCCCTTTCCAACATGGGCCTGAAAGCGCTCCAAATGTCCACTTCCAGATACTACAAAAAGAGTGTTTCAAACCTGCTCTACCAAAGGGAATGTTCTACTCTGTGACTTGAATGCAAACATCTCAAAGAAGTTTCTGAGAATGCTTCTGTCTAGATTTTACCTGAAGACAAATCCGTTTCCCACGAAATCCTCAAAGCTATGCAAATATCCTCTTGCGGATTCTATAAAAGAGTGTTTCAAAACTGCTCTATGAAAAGAAAGGTTCAACTCTGTCAGTAGAGGGCACACATCACAAACAAGTTTCTGAGAATGCTTCTGCCTAGTTGTTATGGGAAGATATTTCCTTTTTCAACATAGGCCTGAAAGCGCTCCAAATGTCCACTTCCAGATACTACAAAAGGAGTGATTCCAACCTGCTCTATGATAGGGAATGTTCAACTCTGTGTCCTGAATACAAACATCACAAAGATGTTTCTCAGAACACTGCAGTCTGCAATTTGTATGAATTCCAGCTTCCAACGAAATCCTCAAATCTAGCCAAATATCCACTTGCAGATTCCACAAAAAGAGCATTTCAAAACTGCTCTATCAAAAGAAAGCTTCAACTTTGTTAGTAGAGTAGATACAGCATAAACAAGTTTCTGAGAATGCTTCTGTCCAGTTTTTATGGGAAGATATTTCCTTTTTCACCTTAGCCCTGAAAGCGCTCCAAAAGTCCAGTTCCAGATACTACAAAAGGAGTGTTTCAGGACTGCTCTATGAAAGGGAGTGTTCAACTTTTGACTTGAATGCAAACATCAGAAAGCAGTTTCTCAGAACGCTGCTGTGTGCTTTTTATATGTATTCCCGCTTCCAGCGAAATCCCCAAAGCTAGCCAAATATCCAATTGCAGATTCCAGAAAAAGAGTGTTTCAAAACTGCTCCTTCAAAACGGTGGTTCAATTCTCTTAGTTGAGTACACACTTCTCAAATAAGTTTCTGAGAATGCTTCTGTCTAGTTGTTATGGGAAGATATTTCCTTTTCCAACATAGGCCTGAAAGTGCTCCAAATGTCCACTTCCAGATACTACAAAAGGAGTGATTCAAACCTGCTCTATGATAGGGAATGTTCAACTCTGTGTCCTGAATACAAACATCACAAAGATGTTTCTCAGAACGCTGCAGTCTGCAATTTGTATGAATTCCCGCTTCCAACGAAATCCTCAAAACTAGCCAAATATCCACTTGCAGATTCCACAAAAAGAGCGTTTCAAAACTTCTCTATGAAAAGAAAGGTTCTACTCCTTTAGTTGAGGACACACATCACGAGTAAGTTTCTGAGAATGCTTCTGTCTAGTTTTTAAGGGAAGATATTTCCTTTTTCACCTTAGGCCGGAAAGTGCTCCAAATGTCCACTTACACACACTACAAAAAGAGTGTTTCAAACCTGCTCTGTGAAAGGGAATGTTCAATTCTGTGACTTGAATGCAATCATCACAAAGAACTTTCTGAGAATGCTGCTGACTGCTTTTTATATGTAATCCCGTTTCCAACGAAATCCTCAAATCTAGCCAAATAGCCACTTGCAGATTCCACAAAAAGAGTGTTTCAAAACTGTTCTGTCTAAAGAAATGTTCAACTGTGTTAGTTGAGGACACACATCAGAAACTAGTTTCTGAGAATGCTTCTGTCTAGTTGTTATGGGAAGATATTTCCTTTTCCAACGTAGGCCTGAAAGCGCTCCAAATGTCCACTTCCAGATACTACAAAAAGAGTGTTTCAAACCTGCTCTACCAAAGGGAATGTTCTACTCTGTGACTTGAATGCAAACATCCCAAAGAAGTTTCTGAGAATGCTTCTGTCTAGATTTTCTCTGAAGACAATCCCGTTTCCAACGAAATCCTCAAGGCTAGGCAAATATACTCTTGCAGATTCCAGAAAAAGAGTGTTTCAAAACTGCTCCTTCAAAACGGTGGTTCAATTCTCTTAGTTGAGTACACACATCTCAAATAAGTTTCTGAGAATGCTTCTGCCTAGTTGTTACGGGAAGATATTTCCCTTTCCAACATGGGCCTGAAATCGCTCCCAATGTCCACTTCCAGATACTACAAAAAGAGTGTTTCAAACCTACTCTACCAAAGGGAATGTTCTACTCTGTGACTTGAATGCAAACATCCCAAAGTAGTTTCTGAGAATGCTTCTGTCTAGATTTTACCTGAAGACAATCCCGTTTCCCACGAAATCCTCAAAGCTATGCAAATATCCTCTTGCAGATTCTACAAAAAGAGTGTTTCAAAACTGCTCTATGAAAAGAAAGGTTCAACTCTGTCAGTAGAGGGCACACATCACAAACAAGTTTCTGAGAATGCTTCTGCATAGTTGTTACGGGAAGATATTTCCCTTTCCAAAATAGGCCTGAATGCGCTCCAAATGTCCACTTCCAGATACTACAAAAGGAGTGATTCCAACCTGCTCTATGATAGGGAATGTTCAACTCTGTGTCCTGAATACAAACATCACAAAGATGTTTCTCAGAACGCTGCAGTCTGCAAATTGTATGAATTCCCGCTTCCAACGAAATCCTCAAAACTAGCCAAATATCCACTTGCAGATTCCACAAAAAGACCATTTCAAAACTGCTCTATCAAAAGAAAGGTTCAACTTTGTTAGTTGAGTAGATACAGCATAACCAAGTTTCTGAGAATGCTTCTGTCCAGTTTTTATGGGAAGATATTTCCTTTTTCACCTTAGCCCTGAAATCGCTCCAAAAGTCCAGTTCCAGATACTACAAAAGGGGTGTTTCAAGACTGCTCTATGAAAGGGAGTGTTCAACTTTTGACTTGAATGCAAACATCAGAAAGCAGTTTCTCAGAACGCTGCTGTGTGCTTTTTATATGTATTCCCGCTTCCAGCGAAATCCCCAAAGCTAGCCAAATATCCACTTGCAGATTCCAGAAAAAGAGTGTTTCAAAACTGCTCCTTCAAAACGGTGGTTCAATTCTCTTAGTTGAGTACACACATCTCAAATAAGTTTCTGAGAATGCTTCTGTCCAGTTTTTATGGGAAGATATTTCCTTTTTCACCTTAGCCCTGAAAGCGCTCCAAATGTCCACTTCCAGATACTACAAAAGGGGTGTTTCAGGCCTGCTCTATGAAAGGGAGTGTTCAACTTTTGACTTGAATGCAAACATCAGAAAGCAGTTTCTCAGAACGCTGCTGTGTGCTTTTTATATGTATTCCCGCTTCCAGCGAAATCCCCAAAGCTAGCCAAATATCCACTTGCAGATCCTAGAAAAAGAGTGTTTCAAAACTGCTCCTTCAAAACGGTGGTTCAATTCTCCTAGTTGAGTACACACATCTCAAATAGGTTTCTGAGAATGCTTCTGTCTAGTTTTTATGGGAAGATATTTCCTTTTTCACCTTAGGCCGGTAAGGGTTCCAAATATCCACTTACACACACTACAAAAAGAGTGTTTCAAACCTGCTCTGTGAAAGGGAATGTTCAATTCTGTGACTTGAATGCAATCATCACAAAGAACTTTCTGAGAATGCTGCTGACTGCTTTTTATATGTAATCCCGTTTCCAACGAAATCCTCAAATCTAGCCAAATAGCCACTTGCAGATTCCACAAAAAGAGTGTTTCAAAACTGTTCTGTCTATAGAAATGTTCAACTGTGTTAGTTGAGGACACACATCAGAAACTAGTTTCTGAGAATGCTTCTGTCTAGTTGTTTTGGGAAGATATTTCCTTTTCCAACGTAGTCCTGAAAGCGATCAAAATGTCCACTTCCATATACTAAAAAAAGAGTGTTTCAAACCTGCTCTACCAAAGGGAATGTTCTACTCTGTGACTTGAATGCAAACATCCCAAAGAAGTTTCTGAGAATGCTTCTGTCTAGATTTTATCTGAATACAATCCCGTTTCCAACGAAATCCTCAAGGCTAGGCAAATATACTCTTGCAGATTCCAGAAAAAGAGTGTTTCAAAACTGCTCCTTCAAAACGGTGGTTCAATTCTCTTAGTTGAGTACACACATCTCAAATAAGTTTCTGAGAATGCTTCTGCCTAGTTGTTACGGGAAGATATTTCCTTTTCCAACATGGGCCTGAAAGCGCTCCAAATGTCCACTTCCAGATACTACAAAAAGAGTGTTTCAAACCTGCTCTACCAAAGGGAATGTTCTACTCTGTGACTTGAATGCAAACATCCCAAAGAAGTTTCTGAGAATGCTTCTGTCTAGATTTTACCTGAAGACAATCCCGTTTCCCACGAAATCCTCAAAGCTATGCAAATATCCTCTTGCAGATTCTACAAAAAGAGTGTTTCAAAACTGCTCTATGAAAAGAAAGGTTCAACTCTGTCAGTAGAGGGCACACATCACAAACAAGTTTCTGAGAATGCTTCTGTCTAGCTGTTATGGGAAGATATTTCCTTTTCCAACATAGGCCTGAAAGCGCTACAAATGTCCACTTCCAGATACGACAAAAGCAGTGATTCCAACCTGCTCTATGATAGGGAATGTTCAACTCTGTGTCCTGAATAAAAACATCACAAAGATGTTTCTCAGAAGGCTGCAGTCTGCAATTTGTATGAATTCCCGCTTCCAACGAAATCCTCAAAACTAGCCAAATATCCACTTGCAGATTCCACAAAAAGACCATTTCAAAACTGCTCTATCAAAAGAAAGGTTCAACTTTGTTAGTTGAGTAGATACAGCATAAACAAGTTTCTGAGAATGCTTCTGTCCAGTTTTTATGGGAAGATATTTCCTTTTTCACCTTAGCCCTGAAATCGCTCCAAAAGTCCAGTTCCAGATACTACAAAAGGGGTGTTTCAGGACTGCTCTATGAAAGGGAGTGTTCAACTTTTGACTTGAATGCAAACATCAGAAAGCAGTTTCTCAGAACGCTGCTGTGTGCTTTTTATATGTATTCCCGCTTCCAGCGAAATCCCCAAAGCTAGCCAAATATCCACTTGCAGATTCCAGAAAAAGAGAGTTTCAAAACTGCTCCTTCAAAACGGTGGTTCAATTCTCTTAGTTGAGTACACACATCTCAAATAAGTTTCTGAGAATGCTGCTGTGTGCTTTTTATATGTATTCCCGCTTCCAGCGATATCCCCAAAGCTAGCCAAATATCCACTTGCAGATTCAAGAAAAAGAGTATTTCAAAACTGCTCCTTCAAAACGGTGGTTCAATTCTCCTAGTTGAGTACACACATCTCCAATAGGTTTCTGAGAATGCTTCTGTCTAGCTGTTATGGGAGGATATTTCCTTTTCCAACATAGGCCTGAAAACGCTCCAAACGTCCACTTCCAGATACGACAAAAGGAGTGATTCCAACCTGCTCTATGATAGGGAATATTCAACTCTGTGTCCTGAATACAAACATCACAAAGATGTTTCTCAGAACGCTTCTGTCTAGTTTTTATGGGAAGATATGTCCTTTTTCACCTTAGGCCGGAAAGTGCTCCAAATGTCCACTTACACACACTACAAAAAGAGTGTTTCAAACCTGCTCTGTGAAAGGGAATGTTCAATTCTGTGACTTGAATGCAATCATCACAAAGAACTTTCTGAGAATGCTGCTGTCAGCTTTTTATATGTAATCCCGTTTCCAAAGAAATCCTCAAATCTAGCCAAATAGCCACTTGCAGATTCCACAAAAAGAGTGTTTCAAAACTGTTCTGTCTAAAGAAATGTTCAACTGTGTTAGTTGAGGACACACATCAGAAACTAGTTTCTGAGAATGCTTCTGTCTAGTTGTTATGGGAAGATATTTCCTTTTCCAACGTAGGCCTGAAAGCGCTCCAAATGTCCACTTCCATATACTAAAAAAAGAGTGTTTCAAACCTGCTCTAACAAAGGGAATGTTCTACTCTATGAATTGAATGCAAACACCCAAAGAAGTTTCTGAGAATGCTTCTGTCTAGATTTTATCTGAAGACAATCCCGTTTCCAACGAAATCCTCAAAGCTAGGCAAATATACTCTTGCAGATTCCAGAAAAAGAGTGTTTCAAAACTGCTCCTTCAAAAGGGTGGTTCAATTCTCTTAGTTGAGTACACCCATCTCAAATAAGTTTCTGAGAATGCTTCTGCCTAGTTGTTACGGGAAGATATTTCCCTTTCCAACATAGGCCTGAAAGCGCTCCAAATGTCCACTTCCAGATACTACAAAAAGAGTGTTTCAAACCTGCTCTACCAAAGGGAATGTTCTACTCTGTGACTTGAATAGAAACATCCCAAAGAAGTTTCTGAGAATGCTTCTGTCTAGATTTTAGCTGAAGACAATCCCGTTTCCAATGAAATCCTCAAAGCTAGGCAAATATACTCTAGCAGATTCCAGAAAAAGAGTGTTTCAAAACTGGTCCTTCAAAACGGTGGTTCAATTCTCTTAGTTGAGTACACACATCTCAAATAAGTTTCTGAGAATGCTTCTGCCTAGTTGTTACGGGAAGATATTTCCCTTTCCAACATAGGCCTGAAAGCGCTCCAAATGTCCACTTCCAGATACTACAAAAAGAGTGTTTCAAACCTGCTCTACCAAAGGGAATGTTCTACTCTGTGACTTGAATGCAAACATCCCGAAGAATTTTCTGAGAATGCTTCTGTCTAGATTTTACCTGAAGACAATCCCGTTTCCCACGAAATCCTCAAAGCTATGCAAATATCCTCTTGCAGATTCTACAAAAAGAGTGTTTCGAAACTGCTCTATGAAAAGAAAGGTTCAACTCTGTCAGTAGAGGGCACACATCACAAACAAGTTTCTGAGAATGCTTGTGTCTACTTGTTATGGGAAGATATTTCCTTTTTCAACATAGGCCTGAAAGCGCTCCAAATGTCCACTTCCAGATACTACAAAAGGAGTGATTCCAACCTGCTCTATGATAGGGAATGTTCAACTCTGTGTCCTGAATACAAACATCACAAAGATGTTTCTCAGAACGCTGCAGTCTGCAATTTGTATGAATTCCCGCTTCCAAAGAAATCCTCAAAACTAACCAAATATCCACTTGCAGACTCCACAAAAAGAGCATTTCAAAACTGCTCTATCAAAAGAAAGGTTCAACTTTGTTAGCTGAGTAGATACAGCATAAACAAGTTTCTGAGAATGCTTCTGTCCAGTTTTTATGGGAAGATATTTCCTTTTTCACCTTAGCCCTGAAAGCACTCCAAATGTCCACTTCCAGATACCACAAAAGGGGAGTTTCAAGACTGCTCTATGAAAGGGAGTGTTCAACTTTTGACTTGAATGCGAACATCAGAAAGAAGTTTCTCAGAACGCTGCTGTGTGCTTTTTATATGTATTCCCGCTTCCAGCGAAATCCCCAAAGCTAGCCAGATATCCACTTGCAGATTCCAGAAAAAGAGTGTTTCAAAACTGCTCCTTCAAAACGGTGGTTCAATTCTCTTAGTTGAGTACACACATCTCAAATAAGTTTCTGAGAATGCTTCTGTCTATTTGTTATGGGAAGATATTTCCTTTTCCAACATAGGCCTGAAAGCGCTCCAAATGTCCACTTCCAGATACTACAAAAGGAGTGATTCCAACCTGCTCTATGATAGGGAACGTTCAACTCTGTGTCCTGAATACAAACATCACAAAGATGTTTCTCAGAACGCTGCAGTCTGCAATTTGTATGAATTCCCGCTTCCAACGAAATCCTCAAAACTAGCCAAATATCCACTTGCAGATTCCACAAAAAGAGCGTTTCAAAACTTCTCTATGAAAAGAAAGTTTCTTCTATTTTACTTGAGTACACACATCACGAGTAAGTTTCTGAGAATGCTTCTGTCTAGTTTTTATGGGAAGATATTTCCTTTTTCACCTTAGGCCGGAAAGCGCTCCAAATGTCCACTTACACACACTACAAAAAGAGTGTTTCAAACCTGCTCTGTGAAAGGGAATGTTCAATTCTGTGACTTGAATGCAATCATCACAAAGAACTTTCTGAGAATGCCCTGTCTGCTTTTTATATGTAATCCCGTTTCCAACGAAATGCTCAAATCTAGCCAAATATCCACTTGCAAATTCCACAAAAAGAGTGTTTCAAAACTGTTCTGTCTAAAGAAATGTTCAACTGTGTTAGTTGAGGACACACATCAGAAACTAGTTTCTGAGAATGCTTGCTGTCTGCTTTTTATATGTATTCCCGTTTCCAACGAAATCCTCAAAGCCAGCCAAATATCCACTTGCAGATTCCACAAAAAGAGTGTTTCAAAACTGCTCTCTCAAAAGAAATGTTCAACTCTGTCAGTTGAGGACACACATCACAAATAAGTTTCTGAGAATGCTTCTCTCTAGATTTTATATGAAGATATTCCCGTTTCCAACGAAATCCACAAAGCTATCGAAATATCCACTTGCAGATTCTACAAAAAGAGTGTTTCAAAACTGCTCTATGAAAAGAAAGGTTCTACCCCTTTAGTTGAGGACACACATCACGAGTAAGTTTCTGAGAATGCTGCAGTCTGCAATTTGTATGAATTCCCGCTTCCAACGAAATCCTCAAAACTAGCCAAATATCCACTTGCAGATTCCAGAAAAAGAGCATTTCAAAACTGCTCTATCAAAAGAAAGGTTCAACATTGTTAGTTGAGTAGATACAGCATGGACAAGTTTCTGAGAATGCTGCAGTCTGCAATTTGTATGAATTCCCGCTTTCAACGAAATCCCCAAAACTAGCCAAATATCCACTTGCAGATTCCACAAAAAGAGCGTTTCAAAACTTCTCTATGAAAAGAAAGGTTCTACTCCTTTAGTTGAGGACACACATCACGAGTAAGTTTCTCAGAATGCTTCTGTCTAGTTTTTATGGGAAGATATTTCCTTGTTCACCTTAGGCCGGAAAGCGCTCCAAATGTCCACTTACACACACTACAAAAAGAGTGTTTCAAACCTGCTCTGTGAAAGGGAATGTTCAATTCTGTGACTTGAATGCAATCATCACAAAGAAGTTTCTGAGAATGCTGCTGTCTGCTTTTTATATGTAATCCCGTTTCCAACGAAATCCTCAAATCTAGCCAAATATCCACTTGCAGATTCCACAAAAAGAGTGTTTCAAAACTGTTCTGTCTAAAGAAATGTTCAACTGTGTTAGTTGAGGACACACATCAGAAACTAGTTTCTGAGAATGCTTCTGTCTAGTTGTTATGGGAAGATATTTCCTTTTCCAACGTAGGCCTGAAAGCGCTCCAAATGTCCACTTACACACACTACAAAAAGAGTGTTTCAAACCTGCTCTACCAACGGGAATGTTCTACTCTGTGACTTGAATGCAAACATCCCAAAGAAGTTTCTGAGAATGCTTCTGTCTAGATTTTACCTGAAGACAATCCCGTTTCCCACGAAATCCTCAAAGCTATGCAAATATCCTCTTGCAGATTCTACAAAAAGAGTGTTTCGAAAGTGCTCTATGAAAAGAAAGGTTCAACTGTGTCAGTAGAGGGCACACATCACAAACAAGTTTCTGAGAATGCTTCTGTCTAGTTGTTATGGGAAGATATTTCCTTTTTCAACATAGGCCTGAAAGCGCTCCAAATGTCCACTTCCAGATACTACAAAAGGAGTGATTCCAACCTGCTCTATGATAGGGAATGTTCAACTCTGTGTCCTGAATACAAACATCACAAAGATGTTTCTCAGAACGCTGCAGTCTGCAATTTGTATGAATTCCCGCTTCCAACGAAATCCTCAAAACTAGCCAAATATCCACTTGCAGATTCCACAAAAAGAGCGTTTCAAAACTTCTCTATGAAAAGAAAGGTTCTACTCCTTTAGTTGAGGACACACATCACGAGTAAGTTTCTGAGAATGCTTCTGTCTAGTTTTTATGGGAAGATATTTCCTTGTTCACCTTAGGCCGGAAAGCGCTCCAAATGTCCACTTACACACACTACAAAAAGAGTGTTTCAAACCTGCTCTGTGAAAGGGAATGTTCAATTCTGTGACTTGAATGCAATCATCACAAAGAAGTTTCTGAGAAAGCTGCTGTCTGCTTTTTATATGTAATCCCGTTTCCAACGAAATCCTCAAATCTAGCAAATATCCACTTGCAGATTCCACAAAAAGAGTGTTTCAAACTGTTCTGTCTAAAGAAATGTTCAACTGTGTTAGTTGAGGACACACATCAGAAACTAGTTTCTGAGAATGCTTCTGTCTAGTTGTTATGGGAAGATATTTCCTTTTCCAACGTAGGCCTGAAAGCACTCCAAATGTCCACTTACACACACTACAAAAAGAGTGTTTGAAACCTGCTCTACCAAAGTGAATGTTCTATTCTGTGACTTGAATGCAAACATCCCAAAGAAGTTTCTGAGAATGCTTCTGTCTAGATTTTATCTGAATACAATCCCGTTTCCAAAGAAATCCTCAAGGCTAGGCAAATATACTCTTGCAGATTCCAGAAAAAGAGTGTTTCAAAACTGCTCCTTCAAAACGGTGGTTCAATTCTCTTAGTTGAGTACACACATCTCAAATAAGTTTCTGAGAATGCTTCTGCCTAGTTGTTACGGGAAGATATTTCCCTTTCCAACATAGGCCTGAAAGCGCTCCAAATGTCCACTTCCAGATACTACAAAAAGAGTGTTTCAAACCTGCTCTACCAAAGGGAATGTTCTACTCTGTGACTTGAATGCAAACATCCCAAAGAAGTTTCTGAGAATGCTTCTGTCTAGATTTTACCTGAAGACAATCCCGTTTCCCACGAAATCCTCAAAGCTATGCAAATATCCTCTTGCAGATTCTAGAAAAAGAGTGTTTCAAAACTGCTCTATGAAAAGAAAGGTTCAACTCTGTCAGTAGAGGACACACATCACAAACAAGTTTCTGAGAATGCTTGTGTCTAGTTGTTATGGGAAGATATTTCCTTTTTCAACATAGGCCTGAAAGCGCTCCAAATGTCCACTTCCAGATACTACAAAAGGAGTGATTCCAACCTGCTCTATGATAGGGAATGTTCAACTCTCTGTCCTGAATACAAACATCACAAAGATGTTTCTCAGAACGCTGCAGTCTGCAATTTGTATGAATTCCAGCTTCCAACGAAATCCTCACAACTAGCCAAATATCCACTTGCAGATTCCACAAAAAGAGCATTTCAAAACTGCTCTATCAAAAGAAAGGTTCAACTTTGTTAGTTGAGTAGATACAGCATAAACAAGTTTCTGAGAATGCTTCTGTCCAGTTTTTATGGGAAGATATTTCCTTTTTCACCTTAGCCCTGAAAGCGCTCCAAAAGTCCAGTTCCAGATACTACAAAAGGAGTGTTTCAGGACTGCTCTATGAAAGGGAGTGTTCAACTTTTGACTTGAATGCAAACATCAGAAAGCAGTTTCTCAGAACGCTGCTGTGTGCTTTTTATATGTATTCCCGCTTCCAGCGAAATCCCCCAAAGCTAGCCAAATATCCACTTGCAGATTCCAGAAAAAGAGTGTTTCAAAACTGCTCCTTCAAAACGGTGGTTCAATTCTCTTAGTTGAGTACACACATCTCAAATAAGTTTCTGAGAATGCTTCCTGTCTATTTGTTATGGGAAGATATTTCCTTTTCCAACATAGGGCCTGAAAGCGCTCCAAATGTCCACTTCCAGATACTACAAAAGGAGTGATTCAAACCTGCTCTATGATAGGGAATGTTCAACTCTGTGTCCTGAATACAAACATCACAAAGATGTTTCTCAGAACGCTGCAGTCTGCAATTTGTATGAATTCCCGCTTCCAACGAAATCCTCAAAACTAGCCACATATCCACTTGCAGATTCCACAAAAAGAGCATTTCAAAACTGCTCTATCAAAAGAAAGGTTCAACTTTGTTAGTTGAGTAGATACAGCATAAACAAGTTTCTGAGAATGCTTCTGTCCAGTTTTTATGGGAAGATATTTCCTTTTTCACCTTAGCCCTGAAATCGCTCCAAAAGTCCAGTTCCAGATACTACAAAAGGGGTGTTTCAGGACTGCTCTATGAAAGGGAGTGTTCAACTTTTGACTTGAATGCAAACATCAGAAAGCAGTTTCTCAGAACGCTGCTGTGTGCTTTTTATATGTATTCCCGCTTCCAGCGAAATCCCCAAAGCTAGCCAAATATCCACTTGCAGATTCCAGAAAAAGAGAGTTTCAAAACTGCTCCTTCAAAACGGTGGTTCAATTCTCTTAGTTGAGTACACACATCTCAAATAAGTTTCTGAGAATGCTGCAGTCTGCAATTTGTATGAATTCCAGCTTCCAACGAAATCCTCAAAACTAGCCAAATATCCACTTGCAGATTCCACAAAAAGAGCATTTCAAAACTGCTCTATCAAAGGAAAGGTTCAACTTTGTTAGTGGAGTAGATACAGCATAAACAAGTTTCTGAGAATGCTGCAGTCTGCAATTTGTATGAATTCCCGCTTCCAACGAAATCCTCAAAACTAGCCAAATATCCACTTGCAGATTCCACAAAAAGAGCGTTTCAAAACTTCTCTATGAAAAGAAAGGTTCTACTCCTTTAGTTGAGGACACACAATACGAGTAAGTTTCTGAGAATGCTTCTGTCCAGTTTTTATGGGAAGATATTTCCTTTTTCACCTTAGCCCTGAAAGCGCTCCAAAAGTCCAGTTCCAGATACTACAAAAGGAGTGTTTCAGGACTGCTCTATGAAAGGGAGTGTTCAACTTTTGACTTGAATGCAAACATCAGAAAGCAGTTTCTCAGAACGCTGCTGTGTGCTTTTTATATGTATTCCCGCTTCCAGCGAAATCCCCAAAGCTAGCCAAATATCCACTTGCAGATTCCAGAAAAAGAGTGTTTCAAAACTGCTCCTTCAAAACGGTGGTTCAATTCTCTTAGTTGAGTACACACATCTCAAATAAGTTTCTGAGAATGCTTCTGTCTAGTTGTTATGGGAAGATATTTCCTTTTCCAACATAGGCCTGAAAGCGCTCCAAATGTCCACTTCCAGATACTACAAAAGGAGTGATTCAAACCTGCTCTATGATAGGGAATGTTCAACTCTGTGTCCTGAATACAAACATCACAAAGATGTTTCTCAGAACGCTGCAGTCTGCAATTTGTATGAATTCCCGCTTCCAACGAAATCCTCCAAACTAGCCAAATATCCACTTGCAGATTCCACAAAAAGAGCGTTTCAAAACTTCTCTATGAAAAGAAAGGTTCTACTCCTTTAGTTGAGGACACACATCACGAGTAAGTTTCTGAGAGTGCTTCTGTCTAGTTTGTATGGGAAGATATTTCCTTTTTCACCTTAGGCCGGAAAGTGCTCCAAATGTCCACTTACACACACTACAAAAAGAGTGTTTCAAACCTGCTCTGTGAAAGGGAATGTTCAATTCTGTGACTTGAATGCAATCATCACAAAGAACTTTCTGAGAATGCTGCTGTCTGCTTTTTATATGTAATCCCGTTTCCAACGAAATCCTCAAATGTAGCCAAATAGCCACTTGCAGATTCCACAAAAAGAGTGTTTCAAAACTGTTCTGTCTAAAGAAATGTTCAACTGTGTTAGTTGAGGACACACATCAGAAACTAGTTTCTGAGAATGCTTTCTGTCTAGTTCTTATGGGAAGATATTTCCTTTTCCAACGTAGGCCTGAAAGCGCTCCAAATGTCCACTTCCATATACTAAAAAAAGAGTGTTTGAAACCTGCTCTACCAAAGGAGAATGTTCTACTCTGTGACTTGAATGCAAACATCCCAAAGAAGTTTCTGAGAATGCTTCTGTCTAGATTTGATCTGAAGACAATCCCGTTTCCAACGAAATCCTCAAGGCTAGGGAAATATCCTCTTGCAGATTCCAGAAAAAGAGTGTTTCAAAACTGCTCCTTCAAAACGGTGGTTCAATTCTCTTAGTTGAGTACACACATCTCAAATAAGTTTCTGAGAATGCTTCTGCCTAGTTGTTACGGGAAGATATTTCCCTTTCCAGCATGGGCCTGAAAGCGCTCCAAATGTCCACTTCCAGATACTACAAAAAGAGTTTTTCAAACCTGCTCTACCAAAGGGAATGTTCTACTCTGTGACTTGAATGCAAACATCCCAAAGAAGTTTCTGAGAATGCTTCTGTCTAGATTTTACCTGAAGACAATCCCGTTTCCCACGAAATCCTCAAAGCTATGCAAATATCCTCTTGCAGATTCGACAAAAAGAGTGTTTCAAAACTGCTCTATGAAAAGAAAGGTTCAACTGTGTCAGTAGAGGGCACACATCACAAACAAGTTTCTGAGAATGCTTGTGTCTAGTTGTTATGGGAAGATATTTCCTTTTCCTACATAGGCCTGAAAGCGCTCCAAATGTCCACTTCCAGATACTACAAAAGGAGTGATTCAAACCTGCTCTATGATAGGGAATGTTCAACTCTGTGTCCTGAATACAAACATCACAAAGATGTTTCTCAGAACGCTGCAGTCTGCAATTTGTATGAATTCCCGCTTCCAACGAAATCCTCAAAACTAGCCAAATATCCACTTGCAGATTCCACAAAAAGAGCGTTTCAAAACTTCTCTATGAAAAGAAAGGTTCTACTCCTTTAGTTGAGGACACACATCACGAGTAAGTTTCTGAGAATGCTTCTGTCTAGTTTTTATGGGAAGATATTTCCTTTTTCACCTTAGGCCGGAAAGTACTCCAAATGTCCACTTACACACACTACAAAAAGAGTGTTTCAAACCTGCTCTGTGAAAGGGAATGTTCAATTCTGTGACTTGAATGCAATCATCACAAAGAACTTTCTGAGAATGCTGCTGTCTGCTTTTTATATGTAATCCCGTTTCCAACGAAATCCTCAAATCTAGCCAAATAGCCACTTGCAGATTCCACAAAAAGAGAGTTTCAAAACTGTTCTGTCTAAAGAAATGTTCAACTGTGTTAGTTGAGGACACACATCAGAAACTAGTTTCTGAGAATGCTTCTGTCTAGTTGTTATGGGAAGATATTTCCTTTTCCAACGTAGGCCTGAAAGCGCTCCAAATGTCCACTTCCATATACTAAAAAAAGAGTGTTTCAAACCTGCTCTACCAAAGGGAATGTTCTACTCTGTGACTTGAATGCAAACATCCCAAAGAAGTTTCTGAGAATGCTTCTGTCTAGATTTGATCTGAAGACAATCCCGTTTCCAACGAAATCCTCAAGGCTAGGCAAATATCCTCTTGCAGATTCCAGAAAAAGAGTGTTTCAAAACTGCTCCTTCAAAACGGTGGTTCAATTCTCTTAGTTGAGTACACACATCTCAAATAAGTTTCTGAGAATGCTTCTGCCTAGTTGTTACGGGAAGATATTTCCCTTTCCAACATAGGCCTGAAAGCGCTCCAAATGTCCACTTCCAGATACTACAAAAAGAGTGTTTCAAACCTGCTCTACCAAAGGGAATGTTCTGCTCTGTGACTTGAATGCAAACATCCCAAAGAAGTTTCTGAGAATGCTTCTGTCTAGATTTTACCTGAAGACAATCCCGTTTCTCACGAAATCCTCAAAACTATGCAAATATCCTCTTGCAGATTCTACAAAAAGAGTGTTTCAAAACTGCTCTATGAAAAGAAAGGTTCAACTCTGTCAGTAGAGGGCACACATCACAAACAAGTTTCTGAGAATGCTTGTGTCTAGTTGTTATGGGAAGATATTTCCTTTTTCAACATAGGCCTGAAAGCGCTCCAAATGTCCACTTCCAGATACTACAAAAGGAGTGATTCCAACCTGCTCTATGATAGGGAATGTTCAACTCTCTGTCCTGAATACAAACATCACAAAGATGTTTCTCAGAACGCTGCAGTCTGCAATTTGTATGAATTCCCGCTTCCAACGAAATCCTCAAAACTAGCCAAATATCCACTTGCAGATTCCACAAAAAGAGCATTTCAAAACTGCTCTATCAAAAGAAAGGTTCAACTTTGTTAGTTGAGTAGATACAGCATAAACAAGTTTCTGAGAATGCTTCTGTCCAGTTTTTATGGGAAGATATTTCCTTTTTCACCTTAGCCCTGAAAGCGCTCCAAAAGTCCAGTTCCAGATACTACAAAAGAAGTGTTTCAGGACTGCACTATGAAAGGGAGTGTTCAACTTTTGACTTGAATGCAAACATCAGAAAGCAGTTTCTCAGAACGCTGCTGTGTGCTTTTTATATGTATTCCCGCTTCCAGCGAAATCCCCAAAGCTAGCCAAATATCCACTTGCAGATTCCAGAAAAAGAGTGTTTCAAAACTGCTCCTTCAAAACGGTGGTTCAATTCTCTTAGTTGAGTACACACATCTCAAATAAGTTTCTGAGAATGCTTCTGTCTAGTTGTTATGGGAAGATATTTCCTTTTCCAACATAGGGCCTGAAAGCGCTCCAAATGTCCACTTCCAGATACTACAAAAGGAGTGATTCCAACCTGCTCTATGATAGGGAATGTTCAACTCTGTGTCCTGAATACAAACATCACAAAGATGTTTCTCAGAACGCTGCAGTCTGCAATTTGTATGAATTCCCGCTTCCAACGAAATCCTCAAAACTAGCCAAATATCCACTTGCAGATTCCACAAAAAGAGCGTTTCAAAACTTCTCTATGAAAAGAAAGGTTCTACTCCTTTAGTTGAGGACACACATCACGAGTAAGTTTCTGAGAATGCTTCTGTCTAGTTTTTATGGGAAGATATTTCCTTTTTCACCTTACGCCGGAAATCGCTCCAAATGTCCACTTACACACACTACAAAAAGAGTGTTTCAAACCTGCTCTGTGAACGGGAATGTTCAATTCTGTGATTTGAATGCAATCATCACAAAGAACTTTCTGAGAATGCTGCTGTCTGCTTTTTATATGTATTCCCGTTTCCAACGAAATCCTCAAATCTAGCCAAATATCCACTTGCAGATTCCACAAAAAGAGTGTTTCAAAACTGTTCTGTCTAAAGAAATGTTCAACTGTGTTAGTTGAGGACACACATCAGAAACTAGTTTCTGAGAATGCTTCTGTCTAGTTGTTATGGGAAGATATTTCCTTTTCCAACGTAGGCCTGAAAGCGCTCCAAATGTCCACTTCCAGATACTACAAAAAGAGTGTTTCAAACCTGCTCTACCAAAGGGAATGTTCTACTCTGTGACTTGAATGCAAACATCCCAAAGAAGTTTCTGAGAATGCTTCTGTCTAGATTTTCTCTGAAGACAATCCCGTTTCCAACGAAATCCTCAAGGCTAGGCAAATATACTCTTGCAGATTCCAGAAAAAGAGTGTTTCAAAACTGCTCCTTCAAAACGGTGGTTCAATTCTCTTAGTTGAGTACACACATCTCAAATAAGTTTCTGAGAATGCTTCTGTCTAGTTGTTATGGGAAGATATTTCCTTTTCCAACATAGGCCTGAAAGCGCTCCAAATGTCCACTTCCAGATACTACAAAAGGAGTGATTCCAACCTGCTCTATGATAGGGAATGTTCAACTCTGTGTCCTGAATACAAACATCACAAAGATGTTTCTCAGAACGCTGCAGTCTGCAATTTGTATGAATTCCCGCTTCCAACGAAATCCTCAAAACTAGCCAAATATCCACTTGCAGATTCCACAAAAAGAGCGTTTCAAAACTTCTCTATGAAAAGAAAGGTTCTACTCCTTTAGTTGAGGACACACATCACGAGTAAGTTTCTGAGAATGCTTCTGTCTAGTTTTTATGGGAAGATATTTCCTTGTTCACCTTAGGCCGGAAAGCGCTCCAAATGTCCACTTACACACACTACAAAAAGAGTGTTTCAAACCTGCTCTGTGAAAGGGAATGTTCAATTCTGTGACTTGAATGCAATCATCACAAAGAAGTTTCTGAGATTGCTGCTGCCTGCTTTTTATATGTAATCCCGTTTCCAACGAAATCCTCAAATCTAGCCAAATATCCACTTGCAGATTCCACAAAAAGAGTGTTTCAAAACTGTTCTGTCTAAAGAAATGTTCAACTGTGTTAGTTGAGGACACACATCAGAAACTAGTTTGTGAGAATGCTTCTGTCTAGTTGTTATGGGAAGATATTTCCTTTTCCAACGTAGGCCTGAAAGCGCTCCAAATGTCCACTTCCATATACTAAAAAAAGAGTGTTTCAAACCTGCTCTACCAAAGGGAATGTTCTACTCTGTGACTTGAATGCAAACATCCCAAAGAAGTTTCTGAGAATGCTTCTGTCTAGATTTTCTCTGAAGACAATCCCGTTTCCAACGAAATCCTCAAGGCTAGGCAAATATACTCTTGCAGATTCCAGAAAAAGAGTGTTTCAAAACTGCTCCTTCAAAACGGTGGTTCAATTCTCTTAGTTGAGTACACACATCTCAAATAAGTTTCTGAGAATGCTTCTGCCTAGTTGTTACGGAAAGATATTTCCCTTTCCAACATGGGCCTGAAAGTGCTCCAAATGTCCACTTCCAGATACTACAAAAAGAGGGTTTCAAACCTGCTCTACCAAAGGGAATGTTCTACTCTGTGACTTGAATGCAAACATCCCAAAGAAGTTTCTGAGAATGCTTTCTTTCTAGATTTTACGTGAAGACAATCCCGTTTCCCACGAAATCCTCAAAGCTATGCAAATATCCTCTTGCGGATTCTACAAAAAGAGTGTTTCAAAACTGCTCTATGAAAAGAAAGGTTCAACTCTGTCAGTAGAGGGCACACATCACAAACAAGTTTCTGAGAATGCTTGTGTCTAGTTGTTATGGGAAGATATTTCCTTTTTCAACATAGGCCTGAAAGCGCTCCAAATGTCCACTTCCAGATACTACAAAAGGAGTGATTCCAACCTGCTCTATGATAGGGAATGTTCATCTCTGTGTCCTGAATACAAACATCACAAAGATGTTTCTCAGAACGCTGCAGTCTGCAATTTGTATGAATTCCCGCTTCCAACGAAATCCTCAAAACTAGCCAAATATCCACTTGGAGATTCCACAAAAAGAGCGTTTCAAAACTTCTCTATGAATAGAAAGGTTCTACTCCTTTAGTTGAGGACACACATCACGAGTAAGTTTCTGAGAATGCTTCTGTCTAGTTTTTATGGGAAGATATGTCCTTTTTCACCTTAGGCCGGAAAGCGCTCCAAATGTCCACTTACACACACTACAAAAAGAGTGTTTCAAACCTGCTCTATGAAAGGGAATGTTCAATTCTGTGACTTGAATGCAATCATCACAAAGAACTTTCTGAGAATGCTGCTGACTGCTTTTTATATGTAATCCCGTTTCCAACGAAATCCTCAAATCTAGCCCAATATCCACTTGCAGATTCCACAAAAAGAGTGTTTCAAAACTGTTCTGTCTAAAGAAATGTACAACTGTGTTAGTTGAGGACACACATCAGAAACTAGTTTCTGAGAATGCTTCTGTCTAGTTGTTATGGGAAGATATTTCCTTTTCCAACGTAGGCCTGAAAGCGCTCCAAATGTCCACTTCCATATACTAAAAAAAGAGTGTTTCAAACCTGCTCTACCAAAGGGAATGTTCTACTCTGTGACTTGAATGCAAACATCCCAAAGAAGTTTCTGAGAATGCTTCTGTCTAGATTTTATCTGAAGACAATCCCGTTTCCAACGAAATCCTCAAGGCTAGGCAAATATACTCTTGCAGATTCCAGAAAAAGAGTGTTTCAAAACTGCTCCTTCAAAACGGTGGTTCAATTCTCTTAGTTGAGTACACACATCTCAAATAAGTTTCTGAGAATGCTTCTGCCTAGTTGTTACGGGAAGATATTTCCCTTTCCAACATGGGCCTGAAAGCGCTCCAAATGTCCACTTCCAGATACTACAAAAGGAGTGATTCCAACCTGCTCTATGATAGGGAATGTTCAACTCTGTGTCCTGAATACAAACATCACAAAGATGTTTCTCAGAACGCTGCAGTCTGCAATTTGTATGAATTCCAGCTTCCAACGAAATCCTCAAAACTAGCCAAATATCCACTTGCAGATTCCACAAAAAGAGCATTTCAAAACTGCCCTATCAAAAGAAAGGTTCAACTTTGTTAGTAGAGTAGATACAGCATAAACAAGTTTCTGAGAATGCTTCTGTCCAGTTTTTATGGGAAGATATTTCCTTTTTCACCTTAGCCCTGAAAGCGCTCCAAATGTCCACTTCCAGATACTACAAAAGGGGTGTTTCAAGACTGCTCTATGAAAGGGAGTGTTCAACTTTTGACTTGAATGCAAACATCAGAAAGCAGTTTCTCAGAACGCTGCTGTGTGCTTTTTATATGTATTCCCGCTTCCAGCGAAATCCCCAAAGCTAGCCAAATATCCACTTGCAGATTCCAGAAAAAGAGGGTTTCAAAACTGCTCCTTCAAAACGGTGGTTCAATTCTCTTAGTTGAGTACACACATCTCAAATAAGTTTCTGAGAATGCTTCTGTCTATTTGTTATGGGAAGATATTTCCTTTTCCAACATAGGCCTGAAAGCGCTCCAAATGTCCACTTCCAGATACTACAAAAGGAGTGATTCAAACCTGCTCTATGATAGCGAATGTTCAACTCTCTGTCCTGAATACAAACATCACAAAGATGTTTCTCAGAACGCTGCAGTCTGCAATTTGTATGAATTCCCGCTTCCAACGAAATCCTCCAAACTAGCCAAATATCCACTTGCAGATTCCACAAAAAGAGCGTTTCAAAACTTCTCTATGAAAAGAAAGGTTCTACTCCTTTAGTTGAGGACACACATCACGAGTAAGTTTCTGAGAATGCTTCTGTCTAGTTTTTATGGGAAGATATTTCCTTTTTCACCTTAGGCCGGAAAGTGCTCCAAATGTCCACTTACACACACTACAAAAAGAGTGTTTCAAACCTGCTCTGTGAAAGGGAATGTTCAATTCTGTGACTTGAATGCAATCATCACAAAGAAGTTTCTGAGAATGCTGCTGTCTGCTTTTTATATGTAATCCCGTTTCCAACGAAATCCTCAAATCTAGCCAAATAGCCACTTGCAGATTCCACAAAAAGAGTGTTTCAAAACTGTTCTGTCTAAAGAAATGTTCAACTGTGTTAGTTGAGGACACACATCAGAAACTAGTTTCTGAGAATGCTTCTGTCTAGTTGTTATGGGAAGATATTTCCTTTTCCAACGTAGGCCTGAAAGCGCTCCAAATGTCCACTTCCATATACTAAAAAAAGAGTGTTTCAAACCTGCTCTACCAAAGGGAATGTTCTACTCTGTGACTTGAATGCAAACATCCCAAAGAAGTTTCTGAGAATGCTTCTGTCTAGATTTGATCTGAAGACAATCCCGTTTCCAACGAAATCCTCAAGGCTAGGCAAATATCCTCTTGCAGATTCCAGAAAAAGAGTGTTTCAAAACTGCTCCTTCAAAACGGTGGTTCAATTCTCTTAGTTGAGTACACACATCTCAAATAAGTTTCTGAGAATGCTTCTGCCTAGTTGTTACGGGAAGATATTTCCCTTTCCAACATAGGCCTGAAAGCGCTCCAAATGTCCACTTCCAGATACTACAAAAAGAGTGTTTCAAACCTGCTCTACCAAAGGGAATGTTCTACTCTGTGACTTGAATGCAAACATCCCAAAGAAGTTTCTGAGAATGCTTCTGTCTAGATTTTACCAGAAGACAATCCAGTTTCCCACGAAATCCTCAAAGCTATGCAAATATCCTCTTGCAGATTCTACAAAAAGAGTGTTTCAAAACTACTCTATGAAAAGAAAGGTTCAACTCAGTCAGTAGAGGGCACACATCACAAACAAGTTTCTGAGAATGCTTCTGTCTAGTTGTTATGGGAAGATATTTCCTTTTCCAACATAGGCTTGAAAGCGCTCCAAATGTCCTCTTTCAGATACTACAAAAGGAGTGATTCCAACCTGCTCTATGATAGGGAATGTTCAACTCTGTGTCCTGAATACAAACATCACAAAGATGTTTCTCAGAACGCTGCAGTCTGCAATTTGTATGAATTCCCGCTTCCAACGAAATCCACAAAACTAGCCAAATATCCACTTGCAGATTCCACAAAAAGAGCGTTTCAAAACTTCTCTATGAAAAGAAAGGTTCTACTCCTTTAGTTGAGGACACACATCACGAGTAAGTTTCTGAGAATGCTTCTGTCCAGTTTTTATGGGAAGATATTTCCTTTTTCACCTTAGCCCTGAAATCGCTCCAAAAGTCCAGTTCCAGATACTACAAAAGGGGTGTTTCAAGACTGCTCTATGAAAGGGAGTGTTCAACTTTTGACTTGAATGCAAACATCAGAAAGCAGTTTCTCAGAACGCTACTGTGTGCTTTTTATATGTATTCCCGCTTCCAGCGAAATCCCCAAAGCTAGCCAAATATCCACTTGCAGATTCCAGAAAAAGAGAGTTTCAAAACTGCTCCTTCAAAACGGTGGTTCAATTCTCTTAGTTGAGTACACACATCTCAAATAAGTTTCTGAGAATGCTTGTGTCTAGTTGTTATGGGAAGATATTTCCTTTTTCAACATAGGCCTGAAAGCGCTCCAATTGTCCACTTCCAGATACTACAAAAGGAGTGATTCCAACCTGCTCTATGATAGGGAATGTTCATCTCTGTGTCCTGAATACAAACATCACAAAGATGTTTCTCAGAACGCTGCAGTCTGCAATTTGGATGAATTCCCGCTTCCAACGAAATCCTCAAAACTGGCCAAATATCCACTTGGAGATTCCACAAAAAGAGCGTTTCAAAACTTCTCTATGAATAGAAAGGTTCTACTCCTTTAGTTGAGGAAACACATCACGAGTAAGTTTCTGAGAATGCTTCTGTCTAGTTTTTATGGGAAGATATTTCCTTTTTCACCTTAGGCCGGAAAGCGCTCCAAATGTCCACTTACACACACTACAAAAAGAGTGTTTCAAACCTGCTCTGTGAAAGGGAATGTTCAATTCTGTGACTTGAATGCAATCATCACAAAGAACTTTCTGAGAATGCTGCTGTCTGCTTTTTATATGTAATCCCGTTTCCAACGAAATCCTCAAATCTAGCCCAATATCCACTTGCAGATTCCACAAAAAGAGTGTTTCAAAACTGTTCTGTCTAAAGAAAAGTTCAACTGTGTTAGTTGAGGACACACATCAGAAACTAGTTTCTGAGAATGCTTCTGTCTAGTTGTTATGGGAAGATATTTCCTTTTCCAACGTAGGCCTGTAAGCGCTCCAAATGTCCACTTCCATACACTAAAAAAAGAGTGTTTCAAACCTGCTCTACCAAAGGGAATGTTCTACTCTGTGACTTGAATGCAAACATCCCAAATAAGTTTCTGAGAATGCTTCTGTCTAGATTTTATCTGAAGACAATCCCGTTTCCAACGAAATCCTCAAGGCTAGGCAAATATACTCTTGCAGATTCCAGAAAAAGAGGGTTTCAAAACTGCTCCTTCAAAACGGTGGTTCAATTCTCTTAGTTGAGTACACACATCTCAAAAAAGTTTCTGAGAATGCTTCTGCCTAGTTGTTACGGGAAGATATTTCCCTTTCCAACATGGGCCTGAAAGCGCTCCAAATGTCCACTTCCAGATACTACAAAAAGAGTGTTTCAAACCTGCTCCACCAAAGGGAATGTTCTACTCTGTGACTTGAATGCAAACATCCCAAAGAAGTTTCTGAGAATGCTTCTGTCTACATTTTACCTGAAGACAATCCCGTTTCCCACGAAATCCTCAAAGCTATGCAAATATCCTCTTGCGGATTCTATAAAAGAGTGTTTCAAAACTGCTCTATGAAAAGAAAGGTTCAACTCTGTCAGTAGAGGGCACACATCACAAACAAGTTTCTGAGAATGCTTGTGTCTAGTTGTTATGGGAAGATATTTCCTTTTTCAACATAGGCCTGAAAGCGCTCCAAATGTCCACTTCCAGATACTACAAAAGGAGTGATTCCAACATGCTCTATGATAGGGAATGTTCATCTCTGTGTCTTGAATACAAACATCACAAAGATGTTTCTCAGAACGCTGCAGTCTGCAATTTGTATGAATTCCCGCTTCCAACGAAATCCTCAAAACTAGCCAAATATCCACTTGGAGATTCCACAAAAAGAGCGTTTCAAAACTTCTCTATCAATAGAAAGGTTCTACTCCTTTAGTTGAGGACACACATCACGAGTAAGTTTCTGAGAATGCTTCTGTCTAGTTTTTATGGGAAGATATTTCCTTTTTCACCTTAGGCCGGAAAGTGCTCCAAATGTCCACTTACACACACTACAAAAAGAGTGTTTGAAACCTGCTCTGTGAAAGGGAATGTTCAATTCTGTGACTTGAATGCAATCATCCCAAAGAACTTTCTGAGAATGCTGCTGTCTGCTTTTTATATGTAATCCCGTTTCCAACGAAATCCTCAAATCTAGCCAAATAGCCACTTGCAGATTCCACAAAAAGAGTGTTTCAAAACTGTTCTGTCTAAAGAAATGTTCAACTGTGTTAGTTGAGGACACACATCAGAAACTAGTTTCTGAGAATGCTTCTGTCTAGTTGTTATGGGAAGATATTTCCTTTTCCAACGTAGGCCTGAAAGCGCTCCAAATGTCCACTTCCATATACTAAAAAAAGAGTGTTTCAAACCTGCTCTACCAAAGGGAATGTTCTACTCTGTGACTTGAATGCAAACATCCCAAAGAAGTTTCTGAGAATGCTTCTGTCTAGATTTGATCTGAAGACAATCCCGTTTCCAACGAAATCCTCAAGGCTAGGCAAATATCCTCTTGCAGATTCCAGAAAAAGAGTGTTTCAAAACTGCTCCTTCAAAACCGTGGTTCAATTCTCTTAGTTGAGTACACACATCTCAAATAAGTTTCTGAGAATGCTTCTGCCTAGTTGTTACGGGAAGATATTTCCCTTTCCAACATAGGCCTGAAAGCGCTCCAAATGTCCACTTCCAGATACTACAAAAAGAGTGTTTCAAACCTGCTCTACCAAAGGGAATGTTCTACTCTGTGACTTGAATGCAAACATCCCAAAGAAGTTTCTGAGAATGCTTCTGTCTAGATTTTACCTGAAGACAATCCCGTTTCCCACGAAATCCTCAAAGCTATGCAAATATCCTCTTGCAGATTCTACAAAAAGAGTGTTTCAAAACTGCTCTATGAAAAGAAAGGTTCAACTCTGTCAGTAGAGGGCACACATCACAAACAAGTTTCTGAGAATGCTTCTGTCTAGTTGTTTTGGGAAGATATTTCCTTTTTCAACATAGGCCGGAAAGCGCTCCAAATGTCCACTTCCAGATACTACAAAAGGAGTGATTCCAACCTGCTCTACGATAGGGAATGTCCAACTCTGTGTCCTGAATACAAACATCACAAAGATGTTTCTCAGAACGCTGCAGTCTGCAATTTGTATGAATTCCCGCTTCCAACGAAATCCTCAAAACTAGCCAAATATCCACTTGCAGATTCCACAAAAAGACCATTTCAAAACTGCTCTATCAAAAGAAAGGTTCAACTTTGTTAGTTGAGTAGATACAGCATAACCAAGTTTCTGAGAATGCTTCTGTCCAGTTTTTATGGGAAGATATTTCCTTTTTCACCTTAGCCCTGAAATCGCTCCAAAAGTCCAGTTCCAGATACTACAAAAGGGGTGTTTCAAGACTGCTCTATGAAAGGGAGTGTTCAACTTTTGACTTGAATGCAAACATCAGAAAGCAGTTTCTCAGAACGCTGCTGTGTGCTTTTTATATGTATTCCCGCTTCCAGCGAAATCCCCAAAGCTAGCCAAATATCCACTTGCAGATTCCAGAAAA
The DNA here is from genome assembly GCF_000001405.40 of Homo sapiens. Lineage (NCBI taxonomy): Eukaryota > Metazoa > Chordata > Mammalia > Primates > Hominidae > Homo > Homo sapiens. Next base: position 15,869,723 of record NC_000018.10, on the reverse strand, counting down.
AGAGAGTTTCAAAACTGCTCCTTCAAAACGGTGGTTCAATTCTCTTAGTTGAGTACACACATCTCAAATAAGTTTCTGAGAATGCTTCTGTCTAGTTGTTATGGGAAGATATTTCCTTTTCCAACATAGGCCTGAAAGCGCTCCAAATGTCCACTTCCAGATACTACAAAAGGAGTGATTCCAACCTGCTCTATGATAGGGAATGTTCAACTCTGTGTCCTGAATACAAACATCACAAAGATGTTTCTCAGAACGCTGCAGTCTGCAATTTGTATGAATTCCCGCTTCCAACGAAATCCTCAAAACTAGCCAAATATCCACTTGCAGATTCCACAAAAAGAGCGTTTCAAAACTTCTCTATGAAAAGAAAGGTTCTACTCCTTTAGTTGAGGACACACATCACGAGTAAGTTTCTGAGAATGCTTCTGTCTAGTTTTTATGGGAAGATATTTCCTCGTTCACCTTAGGCCGGAAAGCGCTCCAAATGTCCACTTACACACACTACAAAAAGAGTGTTTCAAACCTGCTCTGTGAAAGGGAATGTTCAATTCTGTGACTTGAATGCAATCATCACAAACAAGTTTCTGAGAATGCTTGCTGTCTGCTTTTTATATGTAATCCCGTTTCCAACGAAATCCTCAAATCTAGCCCAATATCCACTTGCAGATTCCACAAAAAGAGTGTTTCAAAACTGTTCTGTCTAAAGAAAAGTTCAACTGTGTTAGTTGAGGACACACATCAGAAACTAGTTTCTGAGAATGCTTCTGTCTAGTTGTTATGGGAAGATATTTCCTTTTCCAACGTAGGCCTGAAAGCGCTCCAAATGTCCACTTCCATATACTAAAAAAAGAGTGTTTCAAACCTGCTCTACCAAAGGGAATGTTCTACTCTGTGACTTGAATGCAAACATCCCAAAGAAGTTTCTGAGAATGCTTCTGTCTTGATTTGATCTGAAGACAATCCCGTTTCCAACGAAATCCTCAAGGCTAGGCAAATATCCTCTTGCAGATTCCAGAAAAAGAGTGTTTCAAACCTGCTCCTTCAAAACGGTGATTCAATTCTCTTAGTTGAGTACACACATCTCAAATAAGTTTCTGAGAATGCTTCTGCCTAGTTTTTACGGGAAGATATTTCCCTTTCCAACATAGGCCTGAAAGCGCTCCAAATGTCCACTTCCAGATACTACAAAAAGAGTGTTTCAAACCTGCTCTACCAAAGGGAATGTTCTACTCTGTGACTTGAATGCAAACATCCCGAAGAAGTTTCTGAGAATGCTTCTGTCTAGATTTTACCTGAAGACAATCCCGTTTCCCACGAAATCCTCAAAGCTATGCAAATATCCTCTTGCAGATTCTACAAAAAGAGTGTTTCAAAACTGCTCTATGAAAAGAAAGGTTCAACTCTGTCAGTAGAGGGCACACATCACAAACAAGTTTCTGAGAATGCTTGTGTCTAGTTGTTATGGGAAGATATTTCCTTTTTCAACATAGGCCTGAAAGCGCTCCAAATGTCCACTTCCAGATACTACAAAAGGAGTGATTCCAACCTGCTCTATGATAGGGAATGTTCATCTCTGTGTCCTGAATACAAACATCACAAAGATGTTTCTCAAAACGCTGCAGTCTGCAATTTGTATGAATTCCCGCTTCAAACGAAATCCTCAAAACTAGCCAAATATCCACTTGGAGATTCCACAAAAAGAGCGTTTGAAAACTTCTCTATGAATAGAAAGGTTCTACTCCTTTAGTTGAGGACACACATCACGAGTAAGTTTCTGAGAATGCTTCTGTCTAGTTTTTATGGGAAGATATTTCCTTTTTCACCTTAGGCCGGAAATCGCTCCAAATGTCCACTTACACACACTACAAAAAGAGTGTTTCAAACCTGCTCTGTGAAAGGGAATGTTCAATTCTGTGACTTGAATGCAATCATCACAAAGAACTTTCTGAGAATGCTGCTGTCTGCTTTTTATATGTAATCCCGTTTCCAACGAAATCCTCAAATCTAGCCAAATATCCACTTGCAAATTCTACAAAAAGAGTGTTTCAAAACTGTTCTGTCTAAAGAAAAGTTCAACTGTGTTAGTTGAGGACACACATCAGAAACTAGTTTCTGAGAATGCTTCTGTCTAGTTGTTATGGGAAGATATTTCCTTTTCCAACGTAGGCCTGAAAGCGCTCCAAATGTCCACTTCCATATACTAAAAAAAGAGTGTTTCAAACCTGCTCTACCAAAGGGAATGTTCTACTCTGTGACTTGAATGCAAACATCCCAAAGAAGTTTCTGAGAATGCTTCTGTCTAGATTTGATCTGAAGACAATCCCGTTTCCAACGAAATCCTCAAGGCTAGGCAAATATCCTCTTGCAGATTCTAGAAAAAGAGTGTTTCAAAACTGCTCCTTCAAAACGGTGGTTCAATTCTCTTAGTTGAGTACACACATCTCAAATAAGTTTCTGAGAATGCTTCTGCCTAGTTGTTACGGGAAGATATTTCCCTTTCCAACATAGGCCTGAAAGCGCTCCAAATGTCCACTTCCAGATACTACAAAAAGAGTGTTTCAAACCTACTCTACCAAAGGGAATGTTCTACTCTTTGACTTGAATGCAAACATCCCAAAGAAGTTTACTGAGAATGCTTCTGTCTAGATTTTACCTGAAGACAATCCCGTTTCCCATGAAATCCTCAGAGCTATGCAAATATCCTCTTGCAGATTCTACAAAAAGAGTGTTTCGAAACTGCTCTATGAAAAGAAAGGTTCAACTCTGTCAGTAGAGGGCACACATCACAAACAAGTTTCTGAGAATGCTTCTGTCTAGTTGTTATGGGAAGATATTTCCTTTTTCAACATAGGCCTGAAAGCGCTCCAAATGTCCACTTCCAGATACTACAAAAGGAGTGATTCAAACCTGCTCTATGATAGGGAATGTTCAACTCTGTGTCCTGAATACAATCATCACAAAGATGTTTCTCAGAACGCTGCAAACTGCAACTTGTATGAATTCCCGCTTCCAACGAAATCCTCAAAACTAGCCAAATATCCACTTGCAGATTCCACAAAAAGAGCATTTCAAAACTGCTCTATCAAAAGAAAGGTTCAACTTTGTTAGTTGTGTAGATACAGCATAAACAAGTTTGTGAGAATGCTTCTGTCCAGTTTTTATGGGAAGATATTTCCTTTTTCACCTTAGCCCTGAAAGCGCTCCAAAAGTCCAGTTCCAGATACTACAAAAGGAGTGTTTCAGGACTGCTCTATGAAAGGGGAGTGTTCAACTTTTGACTTGAATGCAAACATCAGAAAGCAGTTTCTCAGAACGCTGCTGTTGTGCTTTTTATATGTATTCCCGCTTCCAGCGAAATCCCCAAAGCTAGCCAAATATCCACTTGCAGATTCCAGAAAAAGAGAGTTTCAAAACTGCTCCTTCAAAACGGTGGTTCAATTCTCTTAGTTGAGTACACACATCTCAAATAAGTTTCTGAGAATGCTTCTGTCTAGTTGTTATGGGAAGATATTTCCTTTTCCAACATAGGCCTGAAAGCGCTCCAAATGTCCACTTCCAGATACTACAAAAGGAGTGATTCCAACCTGCTCTATGATAGGGAATGTTCAACTCTGTGTCCTGAATACAAACATCACAAAGATGTTTCTCAGAACGCTGCAGTCTGCAATTTGTATGAATTCCCGCTTCCAACGAAATCCTCCAAACTAGCCAAATATCCACTTGCAGATTCCACAAAAAGAGCGTTTCAAAACTTCTCTATGAAAAGAAAGGTTCTACTCCTTTAGTTGAGGACACACATCACGAGTAAGTTTCTGAGAATGCTTCTGTCTAGTTTTTATGGGAAGATATTTCCTTTTTCACCTTAGGCCGGAAAGTGCTCCAAATGTCCACTTACACACACTACAAAAAGAGTGTTTCAAACCTGCTCTGTGAAAGGGAATGTTCAATTCTGTGACTTGAATGCAATCATCACAAAGAAGTTTCTGAGAATGCTGCTGTCTGCTTTTTATATGTAATCCCGTTTCCAACGAAATCCTCAAATCTAGCCAAATATCCACTTGCAGATTCCACAAAAAGAGTGTTTCAAAACTGTTCTGTCTAAAGAAAAGTTCAACTGTGTTAGTTGAGGACACACATCAGAAACTAGTTTCTGAGAATGCTTCTGTCTAGTTGTTATGGGAAGATATTTCCTTTTCCAACGTAGGCCTGAAAGCGCTCCAAATGTCCACTTCCATATACTAAAAAAAGAGTGTTTCAAACCTGCTCTACCAAAGGGAATGTTCTACTCTGTGACTTGAATGCAAACATCCCAAAGAAGTTTCTGAGAATGCTTCTGTCTAGATTTTATCTGAAGACAATCCCGTTTCCAACGAAATCTTCAAGGCTAGGCAAATATACTCTTGCAGATTCCAGAAAAAGAGTGTTTCAAAACTGCTCCTTCAAAACGGTGGTTCAATTCTCTTAGTTGAGTACACACATCTCAAATAAGTTTCTGAGAATGCTTCTACCTAGTTGTTACGGGAAGATATTTCCCTTTCCAACATGGGCCTGACAGCGCTCCAAATGTCCACTTCCAGATACTACAAAAAGAGGGTTTCAAACCTGCTCTACCAAAGGGAATGTTCTACTCTGTGACTTGAATGCAAACATCCCAAAGAAGTTTCTGAGAATGCTTCTGTCTAGATTTTACCTGAAGACAATCCCGTTTCCCACGAAATCCTCAAAGCTATGCAAATATCCTCTTGCAGATTCTACAAAAAGAGTGTTTCAAAACTGCTCTATGAAAAGAAAGGTTCAACTCTGTCAGTAGAGGGCACACATCACAAACAAGTTTCTGAGAATGCTTGTGTCTAGTTGTTATGGGAAGATATTTCCTTTTTCAACATAGGCCTGAAAGCGCTCCAAATGTCCACTTCCAGATACTACAAAAGGAGTGATTCCAACCTGCTCTATGATAGGGAATGTTCATCTCTGTGTCCTGAATACAAACATCACAAAGATGTTTCTCATAACGCTGCAGTCTGCAATTTGTATGAATTCCCGCTTCCAACGAAATCCTCAAAACTAGCCAAATATCCACTTGGAGATTCCACAAAAAGAGCATTTCAAAACTTCTCTACGAATAGAAAGGTTCTACTCCTTTAGTTGAGGACACACATCACGAGTAAGTTTCTGAGAATGCTTCTGTCTAGTTTTTATGGGAAGATATTTCCTTTTTCACCTTAGGCCGGAAATCGCTCCAAATGTCCACTTACACACACTACAAAAAGAGTGTTTCAAACCTGCTCTGTGAAAGGGAATGTTCAATTCTGTGACTTGAATGCAATCATCACAAAGAACTTTCTGAGAATGCTGCTGTCTGCTTTTTATATGTAATCCCGTTTCCAACGAAATCCTCAAATCTAGCCAAATATCCACTTGCAGATTCCACAAAAAGAGTGTTTCAAAACTGTTCTGTCTAAAGAAAAGTTCAACTGTGTTAGTTGAGGACACACATCAGAAACTAGTTTCTGAGAATGCTTCTGTCTAGTTGTTATGGGAAGATATTTCCTTTTCCAACGTAGGGCTGAAAGCGCTCCAAATGTCCATTTCCATATACTAAAAAAAGAGTGTTTCAAACCTGCTCTACCAAAGGGAATGTTCTACTCTGTGACTTGAATACAAACATCCCAAAGAAGTTTCTGAGAATGCTTCTGTCTAGATTTGATCTGAAGACAATCCCGTTTCCAACGAAATCCTCAAGGCTAGGCAAATATACTCTTGCAGATTCCAGAAAAAGAGTGTTTCAAAACTGCTCCTTCAAAACGGTGGTTCAATTCTCTTAGTTGAGTACACACATCTCAAATAAGTTTCTGAGAATGCTTCTGCCTAGTTGTTACGGGAAGATATTTCCCTTTCCAACATAGGCCTGAAAGCGCTCCAAATGTCCACTTCCAGATACTACAAAAAGAGTGTTTCAAACCTGCTCTACCAAAGGGAATGTTCTACTCTGTGACTTGAATGCAAACATCCCAAAGAAGTTTCTGAGAATGCTTCTGTCTAGATTTTACCTGAAGACAATCCCGTTTCCCACGAAATCCTCAAAGCTATGCAAATATCCTCTTGCAGATTCTACAAAAAGAGTGTTTCAAAACTGCTCTATGAAAAGAAAGGTTCAACTCTGTCAGTAGAGGGCACACATCACAAACAAGTTTCTGAGAATGCTTGTGTCTAGTTGTTATGGGAAGATATTTCCTTTTTCAACATAGGCCTGAAAGCGCTCCAAATGTCCACTTCCAGATACTACAAAAGGAGTGATTCCAACCTGCTCTATGATAGGGAATGTTCATCTCTGTGTCTTGAATACAAACATCACAAAGATGTTTCTCAGAACGCTGCAGTCTGCAATTTGTATGAATTCCCGCTTCCAACGAAATCCTCAAAACTAGCCAAATATCCACTTGGAGATTCCACAAAAAGAGCGTTTCAAAACTTCTCTATGAATAGAAAGGTTCTACTCCTTTAGTTGAGGACACACATCACGAGTAAGTTTCTGAGAATGCTTCTGTCTAGTTTTTATGGGAAGATATGTCCTTTTTCACCTTAGGCCGGAAAGCGCTCCAAATGTCCACTTACACACACTACAAAAAGAGTGTTTCAAACCTGCTCTGTGAAAGGGAATGTTCAATTCTGTGACTTGAATGCAATCATCACAAAGAACTTTCTGAGAATGCTGCTGTCTGCTTTTTATATGTAATCCCGTTTCCAACGAAATCCTCAAATCTAGCCAAATATCCACTTGCAGATTCCACAAAAAGAGTGTTTCAAAACTGTTCTGTCTAAAGAAATGTACAACTGTGTTAGTTGAGGACACACATCAGAAACTAGTTTCTGAGAATGCTTCTGTCTAGTTGTTATGGGACGATATTTCCTTTTCCAACGTAGGCCTGAAAGCGCTCCAAATGTCCACTTCCATATACTAAAAAAAGAGTGTTTCAAACCTGCTCTACCAAAGGGAATTTTCTACTCTGTGACTTGAATGCAAACATCCCAAAGAAGTTTCTGAGAATGCTTCTGTCTAGATTTGATCTGAAGACAATCCCGTTTCCAACGAAATCCTCAAGGCTAGGCAAATATACTCTTGCAGATTCCAGAAAAAGAGTGTTTCAAAACTGCTCCTTGAAAACGGTGGTTCAATTCTCTTAGTTGAGTACACACATCTCAAATAAGTTTCTGAGAATGCTTCTGCCTAGTTGTTACGGGAAGATATTTCCCTTTCCAACATGGGCCTGAAAGCGCTCCAAATGTCCACTTCCAGATACTACAAAAGGAGTGATTCAAACCTGCTCTACCAAAGGGAATGTTCTGCTCTGTGACTTGAATGCAAACATCCCAAAGAAGTTTCTGAGAATGCTTCTGTCTAGATTTTACCTGAAGACAATCCCGTTTCCCACGAAATCCTCAAAGCTATGCAAATATCCTCTTGCAGATTCTACAAAAAGAGTGTTTCAAAACTGCTCTATGAAAAGAAAGGTTCAACTCTGTCAGTAGAGGGCACACATCACAAACAAGTTTCTGAGAATGCTTGTGTCTAGTTGTTATGGGAAGATATTTCCTTTTTCAACATAGGCCTGAAAGCGCTCCAAATGTCCACTTCCAGATACTACAAAAGGAGTGATTCCAACCTGCTCTATGATAGGGAATGTTCAACTCTCTGTCCTGAATACAAACATCACAAAGATGTTTCTCAGAACGCTGCAGTCTGCAATTTGTATGAATTCCCGCTTCCAACGAAATCCTCAAAACTAGCCAAATATCCACTTGCAGATTCCACAAAAAGAGCATTTCAAAACTGCTCTATCAAAAGAAAGGTTCAACTTTGTTAGTTGAGTAGATACAGCATAAACAAGTTTCTGAGAATGCTTCTGTCCAGTTTTTATGGGAAGATATTTCCTTTTTCACCTTAGCCCTGAAAGCGCTCCAAAAGTCCAGTTCCAGATACTACAAAAGGGGTGTTTCAGGACTGCTCTATGAAAGGGAGTGTTCAACTTTTGACTTGAATGCAAACATCAGAAAGCAGTTTACTCAGAACGCTGCTGTGTGCTTTTTATATGTATTCCCGCTTCCAGCGAAATCCCCAAAGCTAGCCAAATATCCACTTGCAGATTCCAGAAAAAGAGTGTTTCAAAACTGCTCCTTCAAAACGGTGGTTCAATTCTCTTAGTTGAGTACACACATCTCAAATAAGTTTCTGAGAATGCTTCTGTCTAGTTGTTATGGGAAGATATTTCCTTTTCCAACATAGGCCTGAAAGCGCTCCAAATGTCCACTTCCAGATACTACAAAAGGAGTGATTCCAACCTGCTCTATGATAGGGAATGTTCAACTCTGTGTCCTGAATACAAACATCACAAAGATGTTTCTCAGAACGCTGCAGTCTGCAATTTGTATGAATTCCCGCTTCCAACGAAATCCTCAAAACTAGCCAAATATCCACTTGCAGATTCCACAAAAAGAGCGTTTCAAAACTTCTCTATGAAAAGAAAGGTTCTACTCCTTTAGTTGAGGACACACATCACGAGTAAGTTTCTGAGAATGCTTCTGTCTAGTTTTTATGGGAAGATATTTCCTTTTTCACCTTAGGCCGGAAAGCGCTCCAAATGTCCACTTACACACACTACAAAAAGAGTGTTTCAAACCTGCTCTGTGAAAGAGAATGTTCAATTCTGTGACTTGAATGCAATCATCACAAAGAACTTTCTGAGAATGCTGCTGTCTGCTTTTTATATGTAATCCCGTTTCCAACGAAATCCTCAAATCTAGCCAAATATCCACTTGCAGATTCCACAAAAAGAGTGTTTCAAAACTGTTCTGTCTAAAGAAAAGTTCAACTGTGTTAGTTGAGGACACACATCAGAAACTAGTTTCTGAGAATGCTTTCTGTCTAGTTGTTATGGGAAGATATTTCCTTTTCCAACGTAGGCCTGAAAGCGCTCCAAATGTCCACTTCCATATACTAAAAAAAGAGTGTTTCAAACCTGCTCTACCAAAGGGAATGTTCTACTCTGTGACTTGAATGCAAACATCCCAAAGAAGTTTCTGAGAATGCTTCTGTCTAGATTTGATCTAAAGACAATCCCGTTTCCAACGAAATCCTCAAGGCTAGGCAAATATCCTCTTGCAGATTCCAGAAAAAGAGTGTTTCAAAACTGCTCCTTCAAAACGGTGATTCAATTCTCTTAGTTGAGTACACACATCTCAAATAAGTTTCTGAGAATGCTTCTGCCTAGTTGTTACGGGAAGATATTTCCCTTTCCAACATAGGCCTGAAAGCGCTCCAAATGTCCACTTCCAGATAATACAAAAAGAGTGTTTCAAACCTGCTCTACCAAAGGGAATGTTCTACTCTGTGACTTGAATGCAAACATCCCAAAGAAGTTTCTCAGAATGCTTCTGTCTAGATTTTACCTGAAGACAATCCCGTTTCCCACGAAATCCTCAAAGCTATGCAAATATCCTCTTGCAGATTCTACAAAAAGAGCGTTTCAAAACTTCTCTATGAAAAGAAAGGTTCTACTCATTTAGTGGAGGACACACATCACGAGTAAGTTTCTGAGAATGCTTCTGTCTAGTTTTTATGGGAAGATATTTCCTTTTTCACCTTAGGCCGGAAAGTGCTCCAAATGTCCAATTACACACACTAAAAAAGAGTATTTCAAACCTGCTCTGTGAAAGGGAATGTTCAATTCTGTGACTTGAATGCAATCATCACAAAGAACTTTCTGAGAATGCTGCTGACTGCTTTTTATATGTAATCCCGTTTCCAACGAAATCCTCAAATCTAGCCAAATAGCCACTTGCAGATTCCACAAAAAGAGTGTTTCAAAACTGTTCTGTCTAAAGAAATGTGCAACTGTGTTAGTTGAGGACACACATCAGAAACTAGTTTCTGAGAATGCTTCTGTCTAGTTGTTATGGGAAGATATTTCCTTTTCCAACGTAGGCCTGAATGCGCTCCAAATGTCCACTTCCATATACTAAAAAAAGAGTGTTTCAAACCTGCTCTACCAAAGGGAATGTTCTACTCTGTGACTTGAATGCAAACATCCCAAAGAAGTTTCTGAGAATGCTTCTGTCTAGATTTGATCTGAAGACAATCCCGTTTCCAACGAAATCCTCAAGGCTAGGCAAATATCCTCTTGCAGATTCCAGAAAAAGAGTGTTTCAAAACTGCTCCTTCAAAACGGTGGTTCAATTCTCTTAGTTGAGTACACACATCTCAAATAAGTTTCTGAGAATGCTTCTGCCTAGTTGTTACGGGAAGATATTTCCCTTTCCAACATGGGCCTGAAAGCGCTCCAAATGTCCACTTCCAGATACTACAAAAGGAGGGTTTCAAACCTGCTCTACCAAAGGGAATGTTCTACTCCTGTGACTTGAATGCAAACATCCCAAAGAAGTTTCTGAGAATGCTTCTGTCTAGATTTTACCTGAAGACAATCCCGTTTCCCACGAAATCCTCAAAGCTATGCAAATATCCTCTTGCAGATTCTACAAAAAGAGTGTTTCAAAACTGCTCTATGAAAAGAAAGGTTCAACTCTGTCAGTAGAGGGCACACATCACAAACAAGTTTCTGAGAATGCTTCTGCCTAGTTGTTATGGGAAGATATTTCCTTTTTCAACATAGGCCTGAAAGCGCTCCAAATGTCCACTTCCAGATACAACAAAAGGAGTGATTCCAACCTGCTCTATGATAGCGAATGTTCAACTCTGTGTCCTGAATACAAACATCACAAAGATGTTTCTCAGAACGCTGCAGTCTGCAATTTGTATGAATTCCCGCTTCCAACGAAATCCTCAAACCTAGCCAACTATCCACTTGCAGATTCCACAAAAAGAGCATTTCAAAACTGCTCTATCAAAAGAAAGGTTCAACTTTGTTAGTTGAGTAGATACAGCATAAACAAGTTTCTGAGAATGCTTCTGTCCAGTTTTTATGGGAAGATATTTCCTTTTTCACCTTAGCCCTGAAATCGCTCCAAAAGTCCAGTTCCAGATACTACAAAAGGGGTGTTTCAGGACTGCTCTATGAAAGGGAGTGTTCAACTTTTGACTTGAATGCAAACATCAGAAAGCAGTTTCTCAGAACGCTGCTGTGTGCTTTTTATATGTATTCCCGCTTCCAGCGAAATCCCCAAAGCTAGCCAAATATCCACTTGCAGATTCCAGAAAAAGAGAGTTTCAAAACTGCTCCTTCAAAACGGTGGTTCAATTCTCTTAGTTGAGTACACACATCTCAAATAAGTTTCTGAGAATGCTTGTGTCTAGTTGTTATGGGAAGATATTTCCTTTTTCAACATAGGCCTGAAAGCGCTCCAAATGTCCACTTCCAGATACTACAAAAGGAGTGATTCCAACCTGCTCTATGATAGGGAATGTTCATCTCTGTGTCCTGAATACAAACATCACAAAGATGTTTCTCGGAACGCTGCAGTCTGCAATTTGTATGAATTCCCGCTTTCAACGAAATCCTCAAAACTAGCCAAATATCCACTTGTAGATTCCACAAAAAGAGCATTTCAAAACTTCTCTATGAATAGAAAGGTTCTACTCCTTTAGTTGAGGAAACACATCACGAGTAAGTTTCTGAGAATGCTTCTGTCTAATTTTTATGGGAAGATATTTCCTTTTTCACCTTAGGCCGAAAAGCGCTCCAAATGTCCACTTACACACACTACAAAAAGAGTGTTTCAAACCTGCTCTGTGAAAGGGAATGTTCAATTCTGTGACTTGAATGCAATCATCACAAAGAAGTTTCTGAGAATGCTGCTGTCTGCTTTTTATATGTAATCCCGTTTCCAACGAAATCCTCAAATCTAGCCAAATAGCCCCTTGCAGATTCCACAAAAAGAGTGTTTCAAAACTGTTCTGTCTAAAGAAATGTTCAACTGTGTTAGTTGAGGAAACACATCAGAAACAAGTTTCTGAGAATGCTTCTGTCTAGTTGTAATGGGAAGATATTTCCTTTTCCAACATAGGCCTGAAAGCGCTCCAAATGTCCACTTCCATATACTAAAAAAAGAGTGTTTCAAACCTGCTCTACCAAAGGGAATGTTCTACTCTGTGACTTGAATGCAAACATCCCAAAGAAGTTTCTGAGAATGCTTCTGTCTAGATTTTATCTGAAGACAATCCCGTTTCCAAAGAAATCCTCAAGGCTAGGCAAATATACTCTTGCAGATTCCAGAAAAAGAGTGTTTCAAAACTGCTCCTTCAAAACGGTGGTTCAATTCTCTTAGTTGAGTACACACATCTCAAATAAGTTTCTGAGAATGCTTCTGCCTAGTTGTTACGGGAAGATATTTCCCTTTCCAACATGGGCCTGATAGTGCTCCAAATGTCCACTTCCAGATACTACAAAAAGAGTGTTTCAAACCTGCTCTACCAAAGGGAATGTTCTACTCTGTGACTTGAATGCAAACATCCCAAAAAAGTTTCTGAGAATGCTTCTGTCTAGATTTTACCTGAAGACAATCCCGTTTCCCACGAAATCCTCAAAGCTATGCAAATATCCTCTTGCAGATTCTACAAAAAGAGTGTTTCAAAACTGCTCTATGAAAAGAAAGGTTCAACTCTGTCAGTAGAGGGCACACATCACAAACAAGTTTCTGAGAATGCTTGTGTCTAGTTGTTATGGGAAGATATTTCCTTTTTCAACATAGGCCAGAAAGCGCTCCAAATGTCCACTTCCAGATACTACAAAAGGAGTGATTCCAACCTGCTCTATGATAGGGAATGTTCAACCCTCTGTCCTGAATACAAACACCACAAAGATGTTTCTCAGAACGCTGCAGTCTGCAATTTGTATGAATTCCCGCTTCCAACGAAATCCTCAAAACTAGCCAAATATCCACTTGCAGATTCCACAAAAAGAGCATTTCAAAACTGCTCTATCAAAAGAAAGGTTCAAATTTGTTAGTTCAGTAGATACAGCATAAACAAGTTTCTGAGAATGCTTCTGTCCAGTTTTTATGGGAAGATATTTCCTTTTTCACCTTAGCCCTGAAAGCGCTCCAAAAGTCCAGTTCCAGATACTACAAAAGGAGTGTTTCAGGACTGCTCTATGAAAGGGAGTGTTCAACTTTTGACTTGAATGCAAACATCAGAAAGCAGTTTCTCAGAACGCTGCTGTGTGCTTTTTATATGTATTCCCGCCTCCAGCGAAATCCCCAAAGCTAGCCAAATATCCACTTGCAGATTCCAGAAAAAGAGTGTTTCAAAACTGCTCCTTCAAAACGGTGGTTCAATTCTCTTAGTTGAGTACACACATCTCAAATAAGTTTCTGAGAATGCTTCTGTCTAGTTGTTATGGGAAGATATTTCCTTTTCCAACATAGGCCTGAAAGCGCTCCAAATGTCCACTTCCAGATACTACAAAAGGAGTGATTCCAACCTGCTCTATGATAGGGAATGTTCAACTCTGTGTCCTGAATACAAACATCACAAAGATGTTTCTCAGAACGCTGCAGTCTGCAATTTGTATGAATTCCCGCTTCCAACGAAATCCTCCAAACTAGCCAAATATCCACTTGCAGATTCCACAAAAAGAGCGTTTCAAAACTTCTCTATGAAAAGAAAGGTTCTACTCCTTTAGTTGAGGACACACATCACGAGTAAGTTTCTGAGAATGCTTCTGTCTAGTTTTTATGGGAAGATATTTCCTTTTTCACCTTAGGCCAGAAGGGCTCCAAATGTCCACTTACACATACTACAAAAAGAGTGTTTCAAACCTGCTCTGTGAAAGGGAATGTTCAATTCTGTGACTTGAATACAATCATCACAAAGAACTTTCTGAGAATGCTGCTGTCTGCTTTTTATATGTAATCCCGTTTCCAACGAAATCCTCAAATCTAGCCAAATATCCTCTTGCAGATTCCACAAAAAGAGTGTTTCAAAACTGTTCTGTCTAAAGAAGTGTACAACTGTGTTAGTTGAGGACACACATCAGAAACTAGTTTCTGAGAATGCTTCTGTCTAGTTGTTATGGGAAGATATTTCCTTTTCCAACGTAGGCCTGAAAGCGCTCCAAATGTCCACTTCCATATACGAAAAAAAGAGTGTTTCAAACCTGCTCTACCAAAGGGAATCTTCTACTCTGTGACTTGAATGCAAACATCTCAAAGAAGTTTCTGAGAATGCTTCTGTCTAGATTTTATCTGAAGACAATCCCGTTTCCAACGAAATCCTCAAGGCTAGGCAAATATACTCTTGCAGATTCCAGAAAAAGAGTGTTTCAAAACTGCTCCTTCAAAACGGTGGTTCAATTCTCTTAGTTGAGTACACACATCTCAAATAAGTTTCTGAGAATGCTTCTGCCTAGTTGTTACGGGAAGATATTTCCCTTTCCAACATGGGCCTGAAAGCGCTCCAAATGTCCACTTCCAGATACTACAAAAAGAGGGTTTCAAACCTGCTCTACCAAAGGGAATGTTCTACTCTGTGACTTGAATGCAAACATCCCAAAGAAGTTTCTGAGAATGCTTCTGTCTAGATTTTACCTGAAGACAATCCCGTTTCCCACGAAATCCTCAAAGCTATGCAAATATCCTCTTGCAGATTCTACAAAAAGAGTGTTTCAAAACTGCTCTATGAAAAGAAAGGTTCAACTCTGTCAGTAGAGGTCACACATCACAAACAAGTTTCTGAGAATGCTTGTGTCTAGTTGTTATGGGAAGATATTTCCTTTTTCAACATAGGCCTGAAAGCGCTCCAAATGTCCACTTCCAGATACTACAAAAGGAGTGATTCCAACCTGCTCTATGATAGGGAATGTTCATCTCTGTGTCCTGAATACAAACATCACAAAGATGTTTCTCAGAACGCTGCAGTCTGCAATTTGTATGAATTCCCGCTTCCAACGAAATCCTCAAAACTAGCCAAATATCCACTTGCAGATTCCACAAAAAGAGCGTTTCAAAACTTCTCTATGAAAAGAAAGGTTCTACTCCTTTAGCTGAGGGCACACATCACGAGTAAGTTTCTGAGAATGCTTCTGTCTAGTTTTTATGGGAAGATATTTCCTTTTTCACCTTAGGCCGGTAAGGGTTCCAAATGTCCACTTACACACACTACAAAAAGAGTGTTTCAAACCTGCTTTGTGAAAGGGAATGTTCAATTCTGTGACTTGAATGCAATCATCACAAAGAACTTTCTGAGAATGCTGCTGTCTGCTTTTTATATGTAATCCCGTGTCCAACGAAATCCTCAAATCTAGCCAAATATCCACTTGCAGATTCCTCAAAAAGAGTGTTTCTAAACTGTTCTGTCAAAAGAAAGGTTCAACTCTGTTAGTTGAGGACACACATCAGAAACTAGTTTCTGAGAAGGCTTCTGTCTAGTTGTTATGGGAAGATATTTCCTTTTCCAACGTAGGCCTGAAAGCGCTCCAAATGTCCACTTCCAGATACTACAAAAAGAGTGTTTCAAACCTGCTCTACCAAAGGGAATGTTCTACTCTGTGACTTGAATGCAAACATCCCAAACAAGTTTCTGAGAATGCTTCTGTCTAGATTTTTCCTGAAGACAATCCCGTTTCCAACGAAATCCTCAAAGCTATGCAAATATCCTCTTGCAGATTCTACACAAAGAGTGTTTGGAAACTGCTCTATGAAAGGAAAGGTTCAACTCTGTCAGTAGAGGGCACATATCACGAACAAGTTTCTGAGAATGCTTCTGCCTAGTTGTTAAGGGAAGATATTTCCCTTTCCAACATAGGCCTGAAAGCGCTCCAAATGTCCACTTCCAGATACTACAAAAAGAGTGTTTCAAACCTGCTCTACCAAAGGGAATGTTCTACTGTGTGACTTGAATGCAAACATCCCAAAGAAGTTTCTGAGAATGCTTCTGTCTAGATTTTACCTGAAGACAATCCCGTTTCCCACGAAATCCTCAAAGCTATGCAAATATCCTCTTGCAGATTCTACAAAAAGAGTGTTTCAAAACTGCTCTATGAAAAGAAAGGTTCAACTCTGTCAGTAGAGGGCACACATCACAAACAAGTTTCTGAGAATGCTTCTGCCTAGTTGTTACGGGAAGATATTTCCCTTTCCAAAATAGGCCTGAAAGCGCTCCAAATGTCCACTTCCAGATACTGCAAAAGGAGTGATTCCAACCTGCTCTATGATAGGGAATGTTCCACTCTGTGTCCTGAATACAAACATCACAAAGATGTTTCTCAGAACGCTGCAGTCTGCAATTTGTATGAATTCCAGCTTCCAACGAAATCCTCAAAACTAGCCAAATATCCACTTGCAGATTCCACAAAAAGAGCATTTCAAAACTGCTCTATCAAAAGAAAGGTTCAACTTTGTTAGTAGAGTAGATGCAGCATAAACAAGTTTCTGAGAATGCTTCTGTCCAGTTTTTATGGGAAGACATTTCCTTTTTCACCTTAGCCCTGAAAGCGCTCCAAATGTCCAGTTCCAGATACTACAAAAGGGGTGTTTCAAGACTGCTCTATGAAAGGGAGTGTTCAACTTTTGACTTGAATGCAAACATCAGAAAGCAGTTTCTCAGAACGCTGCTGTGTGCTTTTTATATGTATTCCCGCTTCCAGCGAAATCCCCAAAGCTAGCCAAATATCCACTTGCAGATTCCAGAAAAAGAGAGTTTCAAAACTGCTCCTTCAAAACGGTGGTTCAATTCTCTTAGTTGAGTACACACATCTCAAATAAGTTTCTGAGAATGCTTCTGTCTAGTTGTTATGGGAAGATATTTCCTTTTCCAACATAGGCCTGAAAGCGCTCCAAATGTCCACTTCCAGATACTACAAAAGGAGTGATTCCAACCTGCTCTATGATAGGGAATGTTCAACTCTGTGTCCTGAATACAAACATCACAAAGATGTTTCTCAGAACGCTGCAGTCTGCAATTTGTATGAATTCCCGCTTCCAACGAAATCCTCCAAACTAGCCAAATATCCACTTGCAGATTCCACAAAAAGAGCGTTTCAAAACTTCTCTATGAAAAGAAAGGTTCTACTCCTTTAGTTGAGGACACACATCACGAGTAAGTTTCTGAGAATGCTTCTGTCTAGTTTTTATGGGAAGATATTTCCTTTTTCACCTTAGGCCGGAAAGTGCTCCAAATGTCCACTTACACACACTACAAAAAGAGTGTTTCAAACCTGCTCTGTGAAAGGGAATGTTCAATTCTGTGACTTGAATGCAATCATCACAAAGAACTTTCTGAGAATGCTGCTGTCTGCTTTTTATATGTAATCCCGTTTCCAACGAAATCCTCAAATCTAGCCAAATAGCCACTTGCAGATTCCACAAAAAGAGTGTTTCAAAACTGTTCTGTCTAAAGAAATGTTCAATTGTGTTAGTTGAGGACACACATCAGAAACTAGTTTCTGAGAATGCTTCTGTCTAGTTGTTATGGGAAGATATTTCCTTTTCCAACGTAGGCCTGAAAGCGCTCCAAATGTCCACTTCCATATACTAAAAAAAGAGTGTTTCAAACCTGCTCTACCAAAGGGAATGTTCTACTCTGTGACATGAATGCAAACATCCCAAAGAAGTTTCTGAGAATGCTTCTGTCTAGATTTGATCTGAAGACAATCCCGTTTCCAACGAAATCCTCAAGGCTAGGCAAATATCCTCTTGCAGATTCCAGAAAAAGAGTGTTTCAAAACTGCTCCTTCAAAACGGTGGTTCAATTCTCTTAGTTGAGTACACACATCTCAAATAAGTTTCTGAGAATGCTTCTGCCTAGTTGTTACGGGAAGATATTTCCCTTTCCAACATAGGCCTGAAAGCGCTCCAAATGTCCACTTCCAGATACTACAAAAAGAGTGTTTCAAACCTGCTCTACCAAAGGGAATGTTCTGCTCTGTGACTTGAATGCAAACATCCCAAAGAAGTTTCTGAGAATGCTTCTGTCTAGATTTTACCTGAAGACAATCCCGTTTCCCACGAAATCCTCAGAGCTATGCAAATATCCTCTTGCAGATTCTACAAAAAGAGTGTTTCGAAACTGCTCTATGAAAAGAAAGGTTCAACTCTGTCAGTAGAGGAAACACATCACCAACAAGTTTCTGAGAATGCTTCTGTCTAGTTGTTATGGGAAGATATTTCCTTTTCCAACATAGGCCTGAAAGCGCTCCAAATGTCCACTTCCAGATACTACAAAAGGAGTGATTCAAACCTGCTCTATGATAGGGAATGTTCAACTCTGTGTCCTGAATACAAACATCACAAAGATGTTTCTCAGAACGCTGCAGTCTGCAATTTGTATGAATTCCCGCTTCCAACGAAATCCTCAAAACTAGCCAAATATCCACTTGCAGATTCCACAAAAAGAGCATTTCAAAACTGCTCTATCAAAAGAAAGGTTCAACTTTGTTAGTTGAGTAGATACAGCATAAACAAGTTTCTGAGAATGCTTCTGTCCAGTTTTTATGGGAAGATATTTCCTTTTTCACCTTAGCCCTGAAATCGCTCCAAAAGTCCAGTTCCAGATACTACAAAAGGGGTGTTTCAAGACTGCTCTATGAAAGGGAGTGTTCAACTTTTGACTTGAATGCAAACATCAGAAAGCAGTTTCTCAGAACGCTGCTGTGTGCTTTTTATATGTATTCCCGCTTCCAGCGAAATCCCCAAAGCTAGCCAAATATCCACTTGCAGATTCCAGAAAAAGAGTGTTTCAAAACTGCTCCTTCAAAACGGTGGTTCAATTCTCTTAGTTGAGTACACACATCTCAAATAAGTTTCTGAGAATGCTTCTGTCTAGTTGTTATGGGAAGATATTTCCTTTTCCAACATAGGCCTGAAAGCACTCCAAATGTCCACTTCCAGATACTACAAAAGGAGTGATTCAAACCTGCTCTATGATAGGGAATGTTCAACTCTGTGTCCTGAATACAAACATCACAAAGATGTTTCTCAGAACGCTGCAGTCTGCAATTTGTATTAATTCCCGCTTCCAACGAAATCCTCAAAACTAGCCAAATATCCACTTGCAGATTCCACAAAAAGAGCGTTTCAAAACTTCTCTATGAAAAGAAAGGTTCTACTCCTTTAGTTGAGGACACACATCACGAGTAAGTTTCTGAGAATGCTCTGTCTAGTTTTTATGGGAAGATATTTCCTTTTTCACCTTAGGCCGGAAAGTGCTCCAAATGTCCACTTACACACACTACAAAAAGAGTGTTTCAAACCTGCTCTGTGAAAGGGAATGTTCAATTCTGTGACTTGAATGCAATCATCACAAAGAAGTTTCTGAGAATGCTGTGCTGTCTGCTTTTTATATGTAATCCCGTTTCCAACGAAATCCTCAAATCTAGCCAAATAGCCACTTGCAGATTCCACAAAAAGAGAGTTTCAAAACTGTTCTGTCTAAAGAAATGTTCAACTGTGTTAGTTGAGGACACACATCAGAAACTAGTTTCTGAGAATGCTTCTGTCTAGTTGTTATGGGAAGATATTTCCTTTTCCAACGTAGGCCTGAAAGCGCTCCAAATGTCCACTTCCATATACTAAAAAAAGAGTGTTTCAAACCTGCTCTAACAAAGGGAATGTTCTACTCTGTGAATTGAATGCAAACACCCAAAGAAGTTTCTGAGAATGCTTCTGTCTAGATTTGATCTGAAGACAATCCCGTTTCCAACGAAATCCTCAAGGCTAGGCAAATATCCTCTTGCAGATTCCAGAAAAAGAGTGTTTCAAAACTGCTCCTTCAAAACGGTGGTTCAATTCTCTTAGTTGAGTACACACATCTCAAATAAGTTTCTGAGAATGCTTCTGCCTAGTTGTTACGGGAAGATATTTCCCTTTCCAACATGGGCCTGAAAGCGCTCCAAATGTCCACTTCCAGATACTACAAAAAGAGTGTTGCAAACCTGCTCTACCAAAGGGAATGTTCTACTCTGTGACTTGAATGCAAACATCCCAAAGGAGTTTCTGAGAATGCTTCTGTCTAGATTTTACCTGAAGACAATCCCGTTTCCCACGAAATCCTCAAAGCTATGCAAATATCCTCTTGCAGATTCTACAAAAAGAGTGTTTCAAAACTGCTCTATGAAAAGAAAGGTTCAACTCTGTCAGTAGAGGGCACACATCACAAACAAGTTTCTGAGAATGCTTGTGTCTAGTTGTTATGGGAAGATATTTCCTTTTTCAACATAGGCCTGAAAGCGCTCCAAATGTCCACTTCCAGATACTACAAAAGGAGTGACTCCAACATGCTCTATGATAGGGAATGTTCACCTCTGTGTCTTGAATACAAACATCACAAAGATGTTTCTCAGAACGCTGCAGTCTGCAATTTGTATGAATTCCCGCTTCCAACGAAATCCTCAAAACTAGCCAAATATCCACTTGCAGATTCCACAAAAAGACCATTTCAAAACTGCTCTATCAAAAGAAAGGTTCAACTTTGTTAGTTGAGTAGATACAGCATAACCAAGTTTCTGAGAATGCTTCTGTCCAGTTTTTATGGGAAGATATTTCCTTTTTCACCTTAGCCCTGAAATCGCTCCAAAAGTCCAGTTCCAGATACTACAAAAGGGGTGTTTCAAGACTGCTCTATGAAAGGGAGTGTTCAACTTTTGACTTGAATGCAAACATCAGAAAGCAGTTTCTCAGAACGCTGCTGTGTGCTTTTTATATGTATTCCCGCTTCCAGCGAAATCCCCAAAGCTAGCCAAATATCCACTTGCAGATTCCAGAAAAAGAGAGTTTCAAAACTGCTCCTTCAAAACGGTGGTTCAATTCTCTTAGTTGAGTACACACATCTCAAATAAGTTTCTGAGAATGCTTCTGTCTAGTTGTTATGGGAAGATATTTCCTTTTCCAACATAGGCCTGAAAGCGCTCCAAATGTCCACTTCCAGATACTACAAAAGGAGTGATTCCAACCTGCTCTATGATAGGGAATGTTCAACTCTGTGTCCTGAATACAAACATCACAAAGATGTTTCTCAGAACGCTGCAGTCTGCAATTTGTATGAATTCCTGCTTCCAACGAAATCCTCAAAACTAGCCAAATATCCACTTGGAGATTCCACAAAAAGAGCGTTTCAAAACTTCTCTATGAATAGAAAGGTTCTATTCCTTTAGTTGAGGACACACATCACGAGTAAGTTTCTGAGAATGCTTCTGTCTAATTTTTATGGGAAGATATGTCCTTTTTCACCTTAGGCCGGAAAGCGCTCCAAATGTCCACTTACACACACTACAAAAAGAGTGTTTCAAACCTGCTCTGTGAAAGGGAATGTTCAATTCTGTGACTTGAATGCAATCATCACAAAGAACTTTCTGAGAATGCTGCTGACTGCTTTTTATATGTAATCCCGTTTCCAACGAAATCCTCAAATCTAGCCCAATATCCACTTGCAGATTCCACAAAAAGAGTGTTTCAAAACTGTTCTGTCTAAAGAAATGTACAACTGTGTCAGTTGAGGACACACATCAGAAACTACTTTCTGAGAATGCTTCTGTCTAGTTGTTATGAGAAGATATTTCCTTTTCCAACGTAGGCCTGAAAGCGTTCCAAATGTCCACTTCCAGATACTACAAAAAGAGTGTTTCAAACCTGCTCTACCAAAGGGAATGTTCTACTCTGTGACTTGAATGCAAACATCCCAAAGGAGTTTCTGAGAATGCTTCTGTCTAGATTTTACCTGAAGACAATCCCGTTTCCAACGAAATCCTCAAAGCTATGCAAATAACCTCTTGCAGATTCAACAAAAAGAGTGTTTCGAAACTGCTCTATGAAAAGAAAGGTTCAACTCTGTCAGTAGAGGGCACACATCACAAACAAGTTTCTGAGAATGCTTCTGCCTAGTTGTTACGGGAAGATATTTCCCTTTCCAACATGGGCCTGAAAGCGCTCCAAATGTCCACTTCCAGATACTACAAAAAGAGTGTTTCAAACCTGCTCTACGAAAGGGAATGTTCTACTCTGTGACTTGAATGCAAACATCCCAAAGAAGTTTCTGAGAATGCTTCTGTCTAGATTTTACCTGAAGACAATCCCGTTTCCCACGAAATCCTCAAAGCTGTGCAAATATCCTCTTGCGGATTCTACAAAAAGAGTGTTTCAAAACTGCTCTATGAAAAGAAAGGTTCAACTCTGTCAGTAGAGGGCACACATCACAAACAAGTTTCTGAGAATGCTTGTGTCTAGTTGTTATGGGAAGATATTTCCTTTTTCAACATAGGCCTGAAAGCGCTCCAAATGTCCACTTCCAGATACTACAAAAGGAGTGATTCCAACCTGCTCTATGATAGGGAATGTTCATCTCTGTGTCCTGAATACAAACATCACAAAGATGTTTCTCAGAACGCTGCAGTCTGCAATTTGTATGAATTCCCGCTTCCAACGAAATCCTCAAAACTAGCCAAATATCCACTTGGAGATTCCACAAAAAGAGCGTTTCAAAACTTCTCTATGAATAGAAAGGTTCTACTCCTTTAGTTGAGGACACACATCACGAGTAAGTTTCTGAGAATGCTTCTCTCTAGTTTCTATGGGAAGATATTTCCTTTTTCACCTTAGGCCGGAAAGCGCTCCAAATGTCCACTTACACACACTACAAAAAGAGTGTTTCAAACCTGCTCTGTGAAAGGGAATGTTCAATTCTGTGACTTGAATGCAATCATCACAAAGAACTTTCTGAGAATGCTGCTGACTGCTTTTTATATGTAATCCCGTTTCCAAAGAAATCCTCAAATCTAGCCAAATAGCCACTTGCAGATTCCACAAAAAGAGTGTTTCAAAACTGTTCTGTCTAAGGAAATGTTCAACTGTGTTAGTTGAGGACACACATCAGAAACTAGTTTCTGAGAATGCTTCTGTCTAGTCGTTATGGGAAGATATTTCCTTTTCCAACGTAGGCCTGAAAGCGATCAAAATGTCCACTTCCATATACTAAAAAAAGAGTGTTTCCAACCTGCTCTACCAAAGGGAATGTTCTACTCTGTGACTTGAATGCAAACATCCCAAAGAAGTTTCTGAGAATGCTTCTGTCTAGATTTTATCTGAAGACAACCACGTTTCCAACGAAATCGTCAAGGCTAGGCAAATATACTCTTGCAGATTCCAGAAAAAGAGTGTTTCAAAACTGCGCCTTCAAAACGGTGGTTCAATTCTCTTAGTTGAGTACACACATCTCAAATAAGTTTCTGAGAATGCTTCTGCCTAGTTGTTACGGGAAGATATTTCCCTTTCCAACATAGGCCTGAAAGCGCTTCAAATGTCCACTTCCAGATACTACAAAAAGAGTGTTTGAAACCTGCTCTACCAAAGGGAATGTTCTACTCTGTGACTTGAATGCAAACATCCCAAAGAAGTTTCTGAGAATGCTTCTGTCTAGATTTTACCTGAAGACAATCCCGTTTCCCACGAAATCCTCAAAGCTATGCAAATATCCTCTTGCAGATTCTACAAAAAGAGTGTTTCAAAACTTCTCTATGAAAAGAAAGGTTCTACTCATTTAGTGGAGGACACACATCACGAGTAAGTTTCTGAGAATGCTTCTGTCTAGTTGTTATGGGAAGATATTTCCTTTTCCAACGTAGGCCTGAAAGCGCTCCAAATGTCCACTTCCATATACTAAAAAAAGAGTGTTTCAAACCTGCTCTGTGAAAGGGAATGTTCAATTCTGTGACTTGAATGCAATCATCACAAAGAAGTTTCTGAGAATGCTGCTGTCTGCTTTTTATATGTAATCCCGTTTCCAACGAAATCCTCAAATCTAGCCAAATATCCACTTGCAGTTTCCACAAAGAGAGTGTTTCAAAACTGTTCTGTCTAAAGAAATGTTCAACTGTGTTAGTTGAGGACACACATCAGAAACTAGTTTCTGAGAATGCTTCTGTCTAGTTGTTATGGGAAGATATTTCCTTTTCCAACGTAGGCCTGAAAGCGCTCCAAATGTCCACTTCCATATACTAAAAAAAGAGTGTTTCAAACATGCTCTACCAAAGGGAATGTTCTACTCTGTGACTTGAATGCAAACATCCCAAAGAAGTTTCTGAGAATGCTGCAGTCTGCAATTTGTATGAATTCCCGCTTCCAACGAAATCCTCCAAACTAGCCAAATATCCACTTGCAGATTCCACAAAAAGAGCGTTTCAAAACTTCTCTATGAAAGAAAGGTTCTACTCCTTTAGTTGAGGACACACATCACGAGTAAGTTTCTGAGAATGCTTTCTGTCTAGTTTTTATGGGAAGATATTTCCTTTTTCACCTTAGGCCGGAAAGTGCTCCAAATGTCCACTTACACACACTACAAAAAGAGTGTTTCAAACCTGCTCTGTGAAAGGGAATGTTCAATTCTGTGACTTGAATGCAATCATCACAAAGAACTTTCTGAGAATGCTGCTGTCTGCTTTTTATATGTAATCCCGTTTCCAACGAAATCCTCAAATCTAGCCAAATAGCCACTTGCAGATTCCACAAAAAGAGAGTTTCAAAACTGTTCTGTCTAAAGAAATGTTCAACTGTGTTAGTTGAGGACACACATCAGAAACTAGTTTCTGAGAATGCTTCTGTCTAGTTGTTATGGGAAGATATTTCCTTTTCCAACGTAGGCCTGAAAGCGCTCCAAATGTCCACTTCCATATACTAAAAAAAGAGTGTTTCACACCTGCTCTACCAAAGGGAATGTTCTACTCTGTGACTTGAATGCAAACATCCCAAAGAAGTTTCTGAGAATGCTTCTGTCTAGATTTGATCTGAACACAATCCCGTTTCCAACGAAATCCTCAAAGCTAGGCAAATATCCTCTTGCAGATTCCAGAAAAAGAGTGTTTCAAAACTGCTCCTTCAAAACGGTGGTTCAATTCTCTTAGTTGAGTACACACATCTCAAATAAGTTTCTTAGAATGCTTCTGCCTAGTTGTTACGGGAAGATATTTCCCTTTCCAACATGGGCCTGAAAGCGCTCCAAATGTCCACTTCCAGATACTACAAAAGGAGTGATTCAAACCTGCTCTACCAAAGGGAATGTTCTGCTCTGTGACTTGAATGCAAACATCCCAAAGAAGTTTCTGAGAATGCTTCTGTCTAGATTTTACCTGAAGACAATCCCGTTTCCCACGAAATCCTCAAAGCTATGCAAATATCCTCTTGCAGATTCTACAAAAAGAGTGTTTCAAAACTGCTCTATGAAAAGAAAGGTTCAACTCTGTCAGTAGAGGGCACACATCACAAACAAGTTTCTGAGAATGCTTGTGTCTAGTTGTTATGGGAAGATATTTCCTTTTTCAACATAGGCCTGAAAGCGCTCCAAATGTCCACTTCCAGATACTACAAAAGGAGTGATTCCAACCTGCTCTATGATAGGGAATGTTCAACTCTCTGTCCTGAATACAAACATCACAAAGATGTTTCTCAGAACGCTGCAGTCTGCAATTTGTATGAATTCCCGCTCCCAACGAAATCCTCAAAACTAGCCAAATATCCACTTGCAGATTCCACAAAAAGAGCATTTCAAAACTGCTCTATCAAAAGAAAGGTTCAACTTTGTTAGTTGAGTAGATACAGCATAAACAAGTTTCTGAGAATGCTTCTGTCCAGTTTTTATGGGAAGATATTTCCTTTTTCACCTTAGCCCTGAAAGCGCTCCAAAAGTCCAGTTCCAGATACTACAAAAGGAGTGTTTCAGGACTGCTCTATGAAAGGGAGTGTTCAACTTTTGACTTGAATGCAAACATCAGAAAGCAGTTTCTCAGAACGCTGCTGTGTGCTTTTTATATGTATTCCCGCTTCCAGCGAAATCCCCAAAGCTAGCCAAATATCCACTTGCAGATTCCAGAAAAAGAGTGTTTCAAAACTGCTCCTTCAAAACGGTGGTTCAATTCTCTTAGTTGAGTACACACATCTCAAATAAGTTTCTGAGAATGCTTCTGTCTAGTTTTTATGGGAAGATATTTCCTTTTTCACCTGAGGCCGGAAAGCGCTCCAAATGTCCACTTCCAGATACTACAAAAGGAGTGATTCAAACCTGCTCTATGATAGGGAACGTTCAACTCTGTGTCCTGAATACAAACATCACAAAGATGTTTCTCAGAACGCTGCAGTCTGCAATTTGTATGAATTCCCGCTTCCAACGAAATCCTCCAAACTAGCCAAATATCCACTTGCAGATTCCACAAAAAGAGCGTTTCAAAACTTCTCTATGAAAAGAAAGGTTCTACTCCTTTAGTTGAGGACACACATCATGAGTAAGTTTCTGAGAGTGCTTCTGTCTAGTTTTTATGGGAAGATATTTCCTTTTTCACCTTAGGCCGGAAAGTGCTCCAAATGTCCACTTACACACACTACAAAAAGAGTGTTTCAAACCTGCTCTGTGAAAGGGAATGTTCAATTCTGTGACTTGAATGCAATCATCACAAAGAACTTTCTGAGAATGCTGCTGTCTGCTTTTTATATGTAATCCCGTTTCCAACGAAATCCTCAAATCTAGCCAAATAGCCACTTGCAGATTCCACAAAAAGAGTGTTTCAAAACTGTTCTGTCTAAAGAAATGTTCAACTGTGTTAGTTGAGGACACACATCAGAAACTAGTTTCTGAGAATGCTTCTGTCTAGTTGTTATGGGAAGATATTTCCTTTTCCAAAGTAGGCCTGAAAGCGCTCCAAATGTCCACTTCCATATACTAAAAAAAGAGTGTTTCAAACCTGCTCTACCAAAGGGAATGTTCTACTCTGTGACTTGAATGCAAACATCCCAAAGAAGTTTCTGAGAATGTGTCTGTCTAGATTTGATCTGAAGACAATCCCGTTTCCAACGAAATCCTCAAGGCTAGGCAAATATCCTCTTGCAGATTCCAGAAAAAGAGTGTTTCAAAACTGCTCCTTCAAAACGGTGGTTCAATTCTCTTAGTTGAGTACACACATCTCAAATAAGTTTCTGAGAATGCTTCTGCCTAGTTGTTACGGGAAGATATTTCCCTTTCCAACATATGCCTGAAAGCGCTCCAAATGTCCACTTCCAGATACTACAAAAAGAGTGTTTCAAACCTGCTCTACCAAAGGGAATGTTCTACTCTGTGACTTGAATGCAAACATCCCAAAGAAGTTTCTGAGAATGCTTCTGTCTAGATTTTACCTGAAGACAATCCCGTTTCCCACGAAATCCTCAAAGCTATGCAAATATCCTCTTGCAGATTCTACAAAAAGAGTGTTTCAAAACTGCTCTATGAAAAGAAAGGTTCAACTCTGTCAGTAGAGGGCACACATCACAAACAAGTTTCTGAGAATGCTTGTGTCTAGTTGTTATGGGAAGATATTTCCTTTTTCAACATAGGCCTGAAAGCGCTCCAAATGTCCACTTCCAGATACTACAAAAGGAGTGATTCCAACCTGCTCTATGATAGGGAATGTTCAACTCTCTGTCCTGAATACAAACATCACAAAGATGTTTCTCAGAACGCTGCAGTCTGCAATTTGTATGAATTCCCGCTTCCAACGAAATCCTCAAAACTAGCCAAATATCCACTTGCAGATTCCACAAAAAGAGCATTTCAAAACTGCTCTATCAAAAGAAAGGTTCAACTTTGTTAGTTGAGTAGATACAGCATAAACAAGTTTCTGAGAATGCTTCTGTCCAGTTTTTATGGGAAGATATTTCCTTTTTTACCTTAGCCCTGAAAGCGCTCCAAAAGTCCAGTTCCAGATACTACAAAAGGAGTGTTTCAGGACTGCTCTATGAAAGGGAGTGTTCAACTTTTGACTTGAATGCAAACATCAGAAAGCAGTTTACTCAGAACGCTGCTGTGTGCTTTTTATATGTATTCCCGCTTCCAGCGAAATCCCCAAGCTAGCCAAATATCCACTTGCAGATTCCAGAAAAAGAGAGTTTCAAAACTGCTCCTTCAAAACGGTGGTTCAATTCTCTTAGTTGAGTACACACATCTCAAATAAGTTTCTGAGAATGCTTCTGTCCAGTTTTTATGGGAAGATATTTCCTTTTTCACCTTAGCCCTGAAAGCGCCCGAAATGACCAGTTCCAGATACTACAAAAGGGGTGTTTCAAGACTGCTCTATGAAAGGGAGTGTTCAACTTTTGACTTGAATGCAAACATCAGAAAGCAGTTTCTCAGAACGCTGCTGTGTGCTTTTTATATGTACTCCCGCTTCCAGCGAAATCCCCAAAGCTAGCCAAATATCCACTTGCAGATTCCAGAAAAAGAGTGTTTCAAAACTACTCCTTCAAAACGGTGGTTCAATTCTCTTAGTTGAGTACACACATCTCAAATAAGTTTCTGAGAATGCTTCTGTCCAGTTTTTATGGGAAGATATTTCCTTTTTCACCTTAGCCCTGAAAGCGCTTCAAAAGTCCAGTTCCAGATACTACAAAAGGGGTGTTTCAAGACTGCTCTATGAAAGGGAGTGTTCAACTTTTGACTTGAATGCAAACATCAGAAAGCAGTTTCTCAGAACGCTGCTGTGTGCTTTTTATATGTATTCCCGCTTCCAGCGAAATCCCCAAAGCTAGCCAAATATCCACTTGCAGATTCCAGAAAAAGAGTGTTTCAAAACTGCTCCTTCAAAACGGTGGTTCAATTCTCTTAGTTGAGTACACACATCTCAAATAAGTTTCTGAGAATGCTTGTGTCTAGTTGTTATGGGAAGATATTTCCTTTTTCAACATAGGCCTGAAAGCGCTCCAAATGTCCACTTCCAGATACTACAAAAGGAGTGATTCCAACCTGCTCTATGATAGGGAATGTTCATCTCTGTGTCCTGAATACAGACATCACAAAGATGTTTCTCAGAACGCTGCAGTCTGCAATTTGTATGAATTCCCGCTTCCAACGAAATCCTCAAAACTAGCCAAATATCCACTTGGAGATTCCACAAAAAGAGCGTTTCAAAACTTCTCTAAGAATAGAAAGGTTCTACTCCTTTAGTTGAGGACACACATCACGAGTAAGTTTCTGAGAATGCTTCTGTCTAGTTTTTATGGGAAGATTATTTCCTTTTTCACCTTAGGCCGGTAAGTGCTCCAAATGTCCACTTACACACACTACAAAAAGAGTGTTTCAAACCTGCTCTGTGAAAGGGAATGTTCAATTCTGTGACTTGAATGCAATCATCACAAAGAACTTTCTGAGAATGCTGCTGACTGCTTTTTATATGTAATCCCGTTTCCAACGAAATCCTCAAATCTAGCCAAATAGCCACTTGCAGATTCCACAAAAAGAGTGTTTCAAAACTGTTCTGTCTAAAGAAATGTTCAACTCTGTTAGTTGAGGACACACATCAGAAACTAGTTTCTGAGAATGCTTCTGTCTAGTTGTTATGGGAAGATATTTCCTTTTCCAACGTAGGCCTGAAAGCGCTCCAAATGTCCACTTCCAGATACTACAAAAAGAGTGTTTCAAACCTGCTCTACCAAAGGGAATGTTCTACTCTGTGACTTGAATGCAAGCATCCCAAAGAAGTTTCTGAGAATGCTTCTGTCTAGATTTTATCGGAAGACAATCCCGTTTCCAACGAAATCCTCAAAGCTAGGCAAATATACTCTTGCAGATTCCAGAAAAAGAGTGTTTCAAAACTGCTCCTTCAAAACGGTGGTTCAATTCTCTTAGTTGAGTACACACATCTCAAATAAGTTTCTGAGAATGCTTCTGCCTAGGTGTTACGGGAAGATATTTCCCTTTCCAACATGGGCCTGAAAGCGCTCCAAATGTCCACTTCCAGATACTACAAAAAGAGGGTTTCAAACCTGCTCTACCAAAGGGAATGTTCTACTCTGTGACTTGAATGCAAACATCCCAAAGAAGTTTCTGAGAATGCTTCTGTCTAGATTTTACCTGAAGACAATCCCGTTTCCCACGAAATCCTCAAAGCTATGCAAATATCCTCTTGCAGATTCTACAAAAAGAGTGTTTCAAAACTGCTCTATGAAAAGAAAGGTTCAACTCTGTCAGCAGAGGGCACACATCACAAACAAGTTTCTGAGAATGCTTGTGTCTAGTTGTTATGGGAAGATATTTCCTTTTTCAACATAGGCCTGAAAGCGCTCCAAATGTCCACTTCCAGATACTACAAAAGGAGTGATTCCAACCTGCTCTATGATAGGGAATGTTCATCTCTGTGTCCTGAATACAAACATCACAAAGATGTTTCTCAGAACGCTGCAGTCTGCAATTTGTATGAATTCCCGCATCCAACGAAATCCTCAAAACTAGCCAAATATCCACTTGGAGATTCCACAAAAAGAGCGTTTCAAAACTTCTCTATGAATAGAAAGGTTCTACTCCTTTAGTTGAGGACACACATCACGAGTAAGTTTCTGAGAATGCTTCTGTCTAGTTTTTATGGGAAGATATTTCCTTTTTCACCTTAGGCCAGAAAGCGCTCCACATGTCCACTTACACACACTACAAAAAGAGTGTTTCAAACCTGCTCTGTGAAAGGGAATGTTCAATTCTGTGACTTGAATGCAATCATCACAAAGAACTTTCTGAGAATGCTGCTGTCTGCTTTTTATATGTAATCCCGTTTCCAACGAAATCCTCAAATCTAGCCAAATATCCACTTGCAGATTCCTCAAAAAGAGTGTTTCTAAACTGTTCTGTCAAAAGAAACGTTCAACTCTGTTAGTTGAGGACACACATCAGAAACTAGTTTCTGAGAAGGCTTCTGTCTAGTTGTTATGGGAAGATATTTCCTTTTCCAACGTAGGCCTGAAAGCGCTCCAAATGTCCACTTCCATATACTAAAAAAAGAGTGTTTCAAACCTGCTCTACCAAAGGGAATGTTCTACTCTGTGACTTGAATGCAAACATCCCAAGGAAGTTTCTGAGAATGCTTCTGTCTAGATTTGATCTGAAGACAATCCCGTTTCCAACGAAATCCTCAAGGCTAGGCAAATATCCTCTTGCAGATTCCAGAAAAAGAGTGTTTCAAAACTGCTCCTTCAAAACGGTGGTTCAATTCTCTTAGTTGAGTACACACATCTCAAATAAGTTTCTGAGAATGCTTCTGCCTAGTTGTTACGGGAAGATATTTCCCTTTCCAACATAGGCCTGAAAGCGCTCCAAATGTCCACTTCCAGATACTACAAAAAGAGTGTTTCAAACCTGCTCTACCAAAGGGAATGTTCTGCTCTGTGACTTGAATGCAAACATCCCAAAGAAGTTTCTGAGAATGCTTCTGTCTAGATTTTACCTGAAGACAATCCCGTTTCCCACGAAATCCTCAAAGCTATGCAAATATCCTCTTGCAGATTCTACAAAAAGAGTGTTTCAAAACTGCTCTATGAAAAGAAAGGTTCAACTCTGTCAGTAGAGGGCACACATCACAAACAAGTTTCTGAGAATGCTTGTGTCTAGTTGTTATGGGAAGATATTTCCTTTTTCAACATAGGCCTGAAAGCGCTCCAAATGTCCACTTCCAGATACTACAAAAGGAGTGATTCCAACCTGCTCTATGATAGGGAATGTTCAACTCTGTGTCCTGAATACAAACATCACAAAGATGTTTCTCAGAACGCTGCAGTCTGCAATTTGTATGTATTCCAGCTTCCAACGAAATCCTCAAATCTAGCCAAATATCCACGTGCAGATTCCACAAAAAGAGCATTTCAAAACTGCTCTATCAAAAGAAAGGTTCAACTTTTTTAGTAGAGTAGATACAGCATAAACAAGTTTCTGAGAATGCTTCTGTCCAGTTTTTATGGGAAGATATTTCCTTTTTCACCTTAGCCCTGAAAGCGCTCCAAAAGTCCAGTTCCAGATACTACAAAAGGAGTGTTTCAGGACTGCTCTATGAAAGGGAGTGTTCAACTTTTGACTTGAGTGCAAACATCAGAAAACAGTTTCTCAGAACGCTTCTGTGTGCTTTTTATATGTATTCCCGCTTCCAGCGAAATCCCCAAAGCTAGCCAAATATCCACTTGCAGATTCCAGAAAAAGAGAGTTTCAAAACTGCTCCTTCAAAACGGTGGTTCAATTCTCTTAGTTGAGTACACACATCTCAAATAAGTTTCTGAGAATGCTTCTGTCTAGTTGTTATGGGAAGATATTTCCTTTTCCAACATAGGCCTGAAAGCGCTCCAAATGTCCACTTCCAGATACTACAAAAGGAGTGATTCCAACCTGCTCTATGATAGGGAATGTTCAACTCTGTGTCCTGAATACAAACATCACAAAGATGTTTCTCAGAACGCTGCAGTCTGCAATTTGTATGAATTCCCGCTTCCAACGAAATCCTCAAAACTAGCCAAATATCCACTTGCAGATTCCACAAAAAGAGCGTTTCAAAACTTCTTTATGAAAAGAAGGGTTCTACTCCTTTAGTTGAGGACACCCATCACGAGTCAGTTTCTGAGAATGCTTCTGTCTAGTTTTTATGGGAAGATATTTCCTTTTTCACCTTAGGCCGGAAAGCGCTCCAAATGTCCACTTACACATACTACAAAAAGTGTGTTTCAAACCTGCTCTGTGAAAGGGAATGTTCAATTCTGTGACTTGAATACAATCATCACAAAGAACTTTCTGAGAAAGCTGCTGACTGCTTTTTATATGTAATCCCGTTTCCAACGAAATCCTCAAATCTACCCCAATATCCACTTGCAGATTCCACAAAAAGAGTGTTTCAAAACTGTTCTGTCTAAAGAAATGTACAACTGTGTTAGTTGAGGACACACATCAGAAACTAGTTTACTGAGAATGCTTCTGTCTAGTTGTTATGGGAAGATATTTCCTTTTCCAACGTAGGCCTGAAAGCGATCAAAATGTCCACTTCCATATACTAAAAAAAGAGTGTTTCAAACCTGCTCTACCAAAGGGAATGTTCTACTCTGTGACTTGAATGCAAACATCCCAAAGAAGTTTCTGAGAATGCTTCTGTCTAGATTTTATCTGAAGACAATCCCGTTTCCAACGAAATCCTCAAGGCTAGGCAAATATACTCTTTCAGATTCCAGAAAAAGAGGGTTTCAAAACTGCTCCTTCAAAACGGTGGTTCAATTCTCTTAGTTGAGTACACACATCTCAAATAAGTTTCTGAGAATGCTTCTGCCTAGTTGTTACGGGAAGATATTTCCATTTCCAACATGGGCCTGAAAGCGCTCCAAATGTCCACTTCCAGATACTACAAAAAGAGTGTTTCAAACCTGCTCTACCAAAGGGAATGTTCTACTCTGTGACTTGAATGCAAACATCCCAAAGAAGTTTCTGAGAATGCTTCTGTCTAGATTTTACCTGAAGACAATCCCGTTTCCCACGAAATCCTCAAAGCTATGCAAATATCCTCTTGCAGATTCTACAAAAAGAGTGTTTCAAAACTGCTCTATGAAAAGAAAGGTTCAACTCTGTCAGTAGAGGGCACACATCACAAACAAGTTTCTGAGAATGCTTGTGTCTAGTTGCTATGGGAAGATATTTCCTTTTTCAACATAGGCCTGAAAGCGCTCCAAATGTCCACTTCCAGATACTACAAAAGGAGTGATTCCAACCTGCTCTATGATAGGGAATGTTCATCTCTGTGTCCTGAATACAAACATCACAAAGATGTTTCTCATAACGCTGCAGTCTGCAATTTGTATGAATTCCCGCTTCCAACGAAATCCTCAAAACTAGCCAAATATCCACTTGCAGATTGCACAAAAAGAGCATTTCAAAACTGCTCTATCAAAAGAAAGGTTCAACTTTGTTAGTTGAGTAGATACAGCATAAACAAGTTTCTGAGAATGCTTTTCTCCAGTTTTTATGGGAAGATATTTCCTTTTTCACCTTAGCCCTGAAAGCGCTCCAAATGTCCAGTTCCCGATACTACAAAAGGGGTGTTTCAAGACTGCTCTATGAAAGGGAGTGTTCAACTTTTGACTTGAATGCAAACATCAGAAAGCAGTTTCTCAGAACGCTGCTGTGTGCTTTTTATATGTATTCCCGCTTCCAGCGAAATCCCCAAAGCTAGCCAAATATCCACTTGCAGATTCCAGAAAAAGAGTGTTTCAAAACTGCTCCTTCAAAACGGTGGTTCAATTCTCCTAGTTGCGTACACACATCTCAAATAAGTTTCTGAGAATGCTTCTGTCTAGTTGTTATGGGAAGATATTTCCTTTTCCAACATAGGCCTGAAAGCGCTCCAAATGTCCACTTCCAGATACTACAAAAGGAGTGATTCCAACCTGCTCTATGATAGGGAATGTTCAACTCTGTGTCCTGAATACAAACATCACAAAGATGTTTCTCAGAACGCTGCAGTCTGCAATTTGTATGAATTCCTGCTTCCAACGAAATCCTCAAAACTAGCCAAATATCCACTTGCAGATTCCACAAAAAGAGCGTTTCAAAACTTCTCTATGAAAAGAAAGGTTCTACTCCTTTAGTTGAGGACACACATCACGAGTAAGTTTCTGAGAATGCTTCTAGTCTAGTTTTTATGGGAAGATATTTCCTTTTTCACCTTAGGCCGGAAAGCGCTCCAAATGTCCACTTACACACACTACAAAAAGAGTGTTTCAAACCTGCTCTGTGAAAGGGAATGTTCAATTCTGTGACTTGAATGCAATCATCACAAAGAACTTTCTGAGAATGCTGCTGTCTGCTTTTTATATGTAATCCCGTTTCCAACGAAATCCTCAAATCTAGCCAAATAGCCACTTGCAGATTCCACAAAAAGAGTGTTTCAAAACTGTTCTGTCTAAAGAAAAGTTCAACTGTGTTAGTTGAGGACACACATCAGAAACTAGTTTCTGAGAATGCTTCTGTCTAGTTGTTATGGGAAGATATTTCCTTTTCCAACGTAGGCCTGAAAGCGCTCCAAATGTCCACTTCCATATACGAAAAAAAGAGTGTTTCAAACCTGCTCTACCAAAGGGAATGTTCTACTCTGTGAGTTGAATGCAGACATCCCAAAGAAGTTTCTGAGAATGCTTCTGTCTAGATTTGATCTGAAGACAATCCCGTTTCCAACGAAATCCTCAAGGCTAGGCAAATATCCTCTAGCAGATTCCAGAAAAAGAGTGTTTCAAAACTGCTCCTTCAAAACGGTGGTTCAATTCTCTTAGTTGAGTACACACATCTCAAATAAGTTTCTGAGAATGCTTCTGCCTAGTTGTTACGGGAAGATATTTCCCTTTCCAACATGGGCCTGAAAGCGCTCCAAATGTCCACTTCCAGATACTACAAAAAGAGGGTTTCAAACCTGCTCTACCAAAGGGAATGTTCTACTCTGTGACTTGAATGCAAACATCCCAAAGAAGTTTCTGAGAATGCTTCTGTCTAGATTTTACCTGAAGACAATCCCGTTTCCCACGAAATCCTCAAAGCTATGCAAATATCCTCTTGCAGATTCTACAAAAAGAGTGTTTCAAAACTGCTCTATGAAAAGAAAGGTTCAACTCTGTCAGTAGAGGGCACACATCACAAACAAGTTTCTGAGAATGCTTGTGTCTAGTTGTTATGGGAAGATATTTCCTTTTTCAACATAGGCCTGAAAGCGCTCCAAATGTCCACTTCCAGATACTACAAAAGGAGTGATTCCAACATGCTCTATGATAGGGAATGTTCATCTCTGTGTCTTGAATACAAACATCACAAATATGTTTCTCAGAACGCTGCAGTCTGCAATTTGTATGAATTCCCGCTTCCAACGAAATCCTCAAAACTAACCAAATATCCACTTGGAGATTCCACAAAAAGAGCGTTTCAAAACTTCTCTATGAATAGAAAGGTTCTACTCCTTTAGTTGAGGACACACATCACGAGTAAGTTTCTGAGAATGCTTCTGTCTAGTTTTTATGGGAAGATATTTCCTTTTTCACCTTAGGCCGGAAAGCGCTCCAAATGTCCACTTACACACACTACAAAAAGAGTGTTTCAAACCTGCTCTGTGAAAGGGAATGTTCAATTCTGTGACTTGAATGCAATCATCACAAAGAACTTTCTGAGAATGCTGCTGTCTGCTTTTTATATGTAATCCCGTTTCCAACGAAATCCTCAAATCTAGCCAAATATCCACTTGCAGATTCCACAAAAAGAGTGTTTCAAAACTGTTCTGTCTAAAGAAAAGTTCAACTGTGTTAGTTGAGGACACACATCAGAAACTAGTTTCTGAGAATGCTTCTGTCTAGTTGTTATGGGAAGATATTTCCTTTTCCAACGTAGGCCTGAAAGCGCTCCAAATGTCCACTTCCATATACGAAAAAAAGAGTGTTTCAAACCTGCTCTACCAAAGGGAATGTTCTACTCTGTGACTTGAATGCAAACATCCCAAAGAAGTTTCTGAGAATGCTTCTGTCTAGATTTTATCTGAAGACAATCCCGTTTCCAACGAAATCTTCAAGGCTAGGCAAATATACTCTTGCAGATTCCAGAAAAAGAGTGTTTCAAATCTGCTCCTTCAAAACGGTGGTTCAATTCTCTTAGTTGAGTACACACATCTCAAATAAGTTTCTGAGAATGCTTCTGCCTCGTTGTTACGGGAAGATATTTCCCTTTCCAACATGGGCCTGAAAGCGCTCCAAATGTCCACTTCCAGATACTACAAAAAGAGGGTTTCAAACCTGCTCTACCAAAGGGAATGTTCTACTCTGTGACTTGAATGCAAACATCCCAAAGAAGTTTCTGAGAATGCTTCTGTCTAGATTTTACCTGAAGACAATCCCGTTTCCCACGAAATCCTCAAAGCTATGCAAATATCCTCTTGCAGATTCTACAAAAAGAGTGTTTCAAAACTGCTCTATGAAAAGAAAGGTTCAACTCTGTCAGTAGAGGGCACACATCACAAACAAGTTTCTGAGAATGCTTGTGTCTAGTTGTTATGGGAAGATATTTCCTTTTTCAACATAGGCCTGAAAGCGCTCCAAATGTCCACTTCCAGATACTACAAAAGGAGTGATTCCAACCTGCTCTATGATAGGGAATGTTCATCTCTGTGTCCTGAATACAAACATCACAAAGATGTTTCTCAGAACGCTGCAGTCTGCAATTTGTATGAATTCCCGCTTCCAACGAAATCCTCAAAACTAGCCAAATATCCACTTGGAGATTCCACAAAAAGAGCGTTTCAAAACTTCTCTATGAATAGAAAGGTTCTACTCCTTTAGTTGAGGACACACATCACGAGTAAGTTTCTGAGAATGCTTCTGTCTAGTTTTTATGGGAAGATATTTCCTTTTTCACCTTAGGCCGGAAAGCGCTCCAAATGTCCACTTACACACACTACAAAAAGAGTGTTTCAAACCTGCTCTGTGAAAGGGAATGTTCAATTCTGTGACTTGAATGCAATCATCACAAAGAACTTTCTGAGAATGCTGCTGTCTGCTTTTTATATGTAATCCCGTTTCCAACGAAATCCTCAAATCTAGCCAAATATCCACTTGCAGATTCCACAAAAGAGTGTTTCAAAACTGTTCTGTCTAAAGAAAAGTTCAACTGTGTTAGTTGAGGACACACATCAGAAACTAGTTTCTGAGAATGCTTCTGTCTAGTTGCTATGGGAAGATATTTCCTTTTCCAACGTAGGCCTGAAAGCGCTCCAAATGTCCACTTCCATATACTAAAAAAAGAGTGTTTCAAACCTGCTCTACCAAAGGGAATGTTCTACTCTGTGACTTGAATGCAAACATCCCAAATAAGTTTCTGAGAATGCTTCTGTCTAGATTTTATCTGAAGACAATCCCGTTTCCAACGAAATCTTCAAGGCTAGGCAAATATACTCTTGCAGATTCCAGAAAAAGAGTGTTTCAAAACTGCTCCTTCAAAACGGTGGTTCAATTCTCTCAGTTGAGTACACACATCTCAAATAAGTTTCTGAGAATGCTTCTGCCTAGTTGTTACGGGAAGATATTTCCCTTTCCAACATGGGCCTGAAAGCGCTCCAAATGTCCACTTCCAGATACTACAAAAAGAGGGTTTCAAACCTGCTCTACCAAAGGGAATGTTCTACTCTGTGACTTGAATGCAAACATCCCAAAGAAGTTTCTGAGAATGCTTCTGTCTAGATTTTACCTGAAGACAATCCCGTTTCCCACGAAATCCTCAAAGCTATGCAAATATCCTCTTGCAGATTCTACAAAAAGAGTGTTTCAAAACTGCTCTATGAAAAGAAAGGTTCAACTCTGTCAGCAGAGGGCACACATCACAAACAAGTTTCTGAGAATGCTTGTGTCTAGTTGTTATGGGAAGATATTTCCTTTTTCAACATAGGCCTGAAAGCGCTCCAAATGTCCACTTCCAGATACTACAAAAGGAGTGATTCCAACCTGCTCTATGATAGGGAATGTTCATCTCTGTGTCCTGAATACAAACATCACAAAGATGTTTCTCAGAACGCTGCAGTCTGCAATTTGTATGAATTCCCGCATCCAACGAAATCCTCAAAACTAGCCAAATATCCACTTGGAGATTCCACAAAAAGAGCGTTTCAAACCTTCTCTATGAATAGAAAGGTTCTACTCCTTTAGTTGAGGACACACATCACGAGTAAGTTTCTGAGAATGCTTCTGTCTAGTTTTTATGGGAAGATATTTCCTTTTTCACCTTAGGCCGGAAAGTGCTCCAAATGTCCACTTACACACACTACAAAAAGAGTGTTTCAAACCTGCTCTGTGAAAGGGAATGTTCAATTCTGTGACTTGAATGCAATCATCACAAAGAACTTTCTGAGAATGCTGCTGTCTGCTTTTTATATGTAATCCCGTTTCCAACGAAATCCTCAAATCTAGCCAAATATCCACTTGCAGATTCCACAAAAAGAGTGTTTCAAAACTGTTCTGTCTAAAGAAAAGTTCAACTGTGTTAGTTGAGGACACACATCAGAAACTAGTTTCTGAGAATGCTTCTGTCTAGTTGTTATGGGAAGATATTTCCTTTTCCAACGTAGGCCTGAAAGCGCTCCAAATGTCCATTTCCATATACTAAAAAAAGAGTGTTTCAAACCTGCTCTATCAAAGGGAATGTTCTACTCTGTGACTTGAATACAAACATCCCAAAGAAGTTTCTGAGAATGCTTCTGTCTAGATTTTATCTGAAGACAATCCCGTTTCCAACGAAATCCTCAAGGCTAGGCAAATATCGTCTAGCAGATTCCAGAAAAAGAGTGTTTCAAAACTGCTCCTTCAAAACGGTGGTTCAATTCTCTTAGTTGCGTACACACATCTCAAAAAAGTTTCAGAGAATGCTTCTGCCTAGTTGTTACGGGAAGATATTTCCCTTTCCAACATGGGCCTGAAAGTGCTCCAAATATCCACTTCCAGATACTACAAAAAGAGTGTTTCAAACCTGCTCTACCAAAGGGAATGTTCTACTCTGTGACTTGAATGCAAACATCCCAAAGAAGTTTCTGAGAATGCTTCTGTCTAGATTTTACCTGAAGACAATCCCGTTTCCCACGGAATCCTCAAAGCTATGCAAATATCCTCTTGCAGATTCTACAAAAAGAGTGTTTCAAAACTGCTCTATGAAAAGAAAGGTTCAACTCTGTCAGTAGAGGGCACACATCACAAACAAGTTTCTGAGAATGCTTGTGTCTAGTTGTTATGGGAAGATATTTCCTTTTTCAACATAGGACTGAAAGCGCTCCAAATGTCCACTTCCAGATACTACAAAAGGAGTGATTCCAACCTACTCTATGATAGGGAATGTTCATCTCTGTGTCCTGAATACAAACATCACAAAGATGATTCTCAGAACGCTGCAGTCTGCAATTTGTATGAATTCCCGCTTCCAACGAAATCCTCAAAACTAGCCAAATATCCACTTGGAGATTCCACAAAAAGAGCGTTTCAAAACTTCTCTATGAATAGAAATGTTCTACTCCTTTAGTTGAGGACACACATCACGAGTAAGTTTCTGAGAATGCTTCTGTCTAGTTTTTATGGGAAGATATTTCCTTTTTCACCTTAGGCCGGAAAGCGCTCCAAATGTCCACTTACACACACTACAAAAAGAGGGTTTCAAACCTGCTCTGTGAAAGGGAATGTTCAATTCTGTGACTTGAATGCAATCATCACAAAGAACTTTCTGAGAATGCTGCTGTCTGCTTTTTATATGTAATCCCGTTTCCAACGAAATCCTCAAATCTAGCCAAATATCCACTTGCAGATTCCACAAAAAGAGTGTTTCAAAACTGTTCTGTCTAAAGAAAAGTTCAACTGTGTTAGTTGAGGACACACATCAGAAACTAGTTCCTGAGAATGCTTCTGTCTAGTTGTTATGGGAAGATATTTCCTTTTCCAGCGTAGGCCTGAAAGCACTCCAAATGTCCACTTCCATATACTAAAAAAAGAGTGTTTCAAACCTGCTCTACCAAAGGGAATGTTCTACTCTGTGACTTGAATGCAAACATCCCAAAGAAGTTTTTGAGAATGCTTCTGTCTAGATTTTACCTGAAGACAATCCCGTTTCCAACGAAATCCTCAAGGCTAGGCAAATATACTCTTGCAGATTACAGAAAAAGAGTGTTTCAAAACTGCTCCTTCAAAACGGTGGTTCAATTCTCTTAGTTGAGTACACACATCTCAAATAAGTTTCTGAGAATGCTTCTGCCTAGTTGTTACGGGAAGATATTTCCCTTTCCAACATGGGCCTGAAAGCGCTCCAAATGTCCACTTCCAGATACTACAAAAAGAGGGTTTCAAACCTGCTCTACCAAAGGGAATGTTCTACTCTGTGACTTGAATGCAAACATCCCAAAGAAGTTTCTGAGAATGCTTCTGTCTAGATTTTACCTGAAGACAATCCCGTTTCCCACGAAATCCTCAAAGCTATGCAAATATCCTCTTGCAGATTCTACAAAAAGAGTGTTTCAAAACTGCTCTATGAAAAGAAAGGTTCAACTCTGTCAGTAGAGGGCACACATCACAAACAAGTTTCTGAGAATGCTTGTGTCTAGTTGTTATGGGAAGATATTTCCTTTTTCAACATAGGCCTGAAAGCGCTCCAAATGTCCACTTCCAGATACTACAAAAGGAGTGATTCCAACC
Organism: Homo sapiens; assembly: GCF_000001405.40. Classification (NCBI taxonomy): domain Eukaryota; kingdom Metazoa; phylum Chordata; class Mammalia; order Primates; family Hominidae; genus Homo; species Homo sapiens. Next base: position 15,828,791 of record NC_000018.10, on the reverse strand, counting down.
TGCTCTATGATAGGGAATGTTCAACTCTGTGTCCTGAATACAAACATCACAAAGATGTTTCTCAGAACGCTGCAGTCTGCAATTTGTATGAATTCCCGCTTCCAACGAAATCCTCAAATCTAGCCAAATATCCACTTGCAGATTCCACAAAAAGAGCATTTCAAAACTGCTCTATCAAAAGAAAGGTTCAACTTTGTTAGTAGAGTAGATACAGCATAAACAAGTTTCTGAGAATGCTTCTGTCCAGTTTTTATGGGAAGATATTTCCTTTTTCACCTTAGCCCTGAAAGCGCTCCAAAAGTCCAGTTCCAGATACTACAAAAGGAGTGTTTCAGGACTGCTCTATGAAAGGGAGTGTTCAACTTTTGACTTGAATGCAAACATCAGAAAGAAGTTTCTCAGAACGCTGCTGTGTGCTTTTTATATGTATTCCCGCTTCCAGCGAAATCCCCAAAGCTAGCCAAATATCCACTTGCAGATTCCAGAAAAAGAGTGTTTCAAAACTGCTCCTTCAAAACGGTGGTTCAATTCTCTTAGTTGAGTACACACATCTCAAATAAGTTTCTGAGAATGCTTCTGTCTAGTTGTTATGGGAAGATATTTCCTTTTCCAACATAGGCCTGAAAGCGCTCCAAATGTCCACTTCCAGATACTACAAAAGGAGTGATTCCAACCTGCTCTATGATAGGGAATGTTCAACTCTGTGTCCTGAATACAAACATCACAAAGATGTTTCTCAGAACGCTGCAGTCTGCAATTTGTATGAATTCCCGCTTCCAACGAAATCCTCCAAACTAGCCAAATATCCACTTGCAGATTCCACAAAAAGAGCGTTTCAAAACTTCTCTATGAAAAGAAAGGTTCTACTCCTTTAGTTGAGGACACACATCACGAGTAAGTTTCTGAGAGTGCTTCTGTCTAGTTTTTAAGGGAAGATATTTCCTTTTTCACCTTAGGCCGGAAAGTGCTCCAAATGTCCACTTACACACACTACAAAAAGAGTGTTTCAAACCTGCTCTGTGAAAGGGAATGTTCAATTCTGTGACTTGAATGCAATCATCACAAAGAACTTTCTGAGAATGCTGCTGTCTGCTTTTTATATGTAATCCCGTTTCCAACGAAATCCTCAAATCTAGCCAAATAGCCACTTGCAGATTCCACAAAAAGAGAGTTTCAAAACTGTTCTGTCTAAAGAAATGTTCAACTGTGTTAGTTGAGGACACACATCAGAAACTAGTTTCTGAGAATGCTTCTGTCTAGTTGTTATGGGAAGATATTTCCTTTTCCAACGTAGGCCTGAAAGCGCTCCAAATGTCCACTTCCATATACTAAAAAAAGAGTGTTTCACACCTGCTCTACCAAAGGGAATGTTCTACTCTGTGACTTGAATGCAAACATCCCAAAGAAGTTTCTGAGAATGCTTCTGTCTAGATTTGATCTGAACACAATCCCGTTTCCAACGAAATCCTCAAAGCTAGGCAAATATCCTCTTGCAGATTCCAGAAAAAGAGTGTTTCAAAACTGCTCCTTCAAAACGGTGCTTCAATTCTCTTAGTTGAGTACACACATCTCAAATAAGTTTCTGAGAATGCTTCTGCCTAGTTGTTACCGGAAGATATTTCCCTTTCCAACATAGGCCTGAAAGCGCTCCAAATGTCCACTTCCAGATACTACAAAAAGAGTGTTTCAAACCTGCTCTACCAAAGGGAATGTTCTACTCTGTGACTTGAATGCAAACATCCCAAAGAAGTTTCTGAGAATGCTTCTGTCTAGATTTTACCTGAAGACAATCCCGTTTCCCACGAAATCCTCAAAGCTATGCAAATATCCTCTTGCAGATTCTACAAAAAGAGTGTTTCAAAACTGCTCTATGAAAAGAAAGGTTCAACTCTGTCAGTAGAGGGCACACATCACAAACAAGTTTCTGAGAATGCTTGTGTCTAGTTGTTATGGGAAGATATTTCCTTTTTCAACATAGGCCAGAAAGCGCTCCAAATGTCCACTTCCAGATACTACAAAAGGAGTGATTCCAACCTGCTCTATGATAGGGAATGTTCAACTCTCTGTCCTGAATACAAACATCACAAAGATGTTTCTCAGAACGCTGCAGTCTGCAGTTTGTATGAATTCCCGCTTCCAACGAAATCCTCAAAACTAGCCAAATATCCACTTGCAGATTCCACAAAAAGAGCATTTCAAAACTGCTCTATCAAAAGAAAGGTTCAACTTTGTTAGTTGAGTAGATACAGCATAAACAAGTTTCTGAGAATGCTTCTCTCTAGATTTTATATGAAGATATTCCCGTTTCCAACGAAATCCACAAAGCTATCAAAATATCCACTTGCAGATTCTACAAAAAGAGTGTTTCAAAACTGCTCTATCAAAAGAAAGGTTCTACCCCTTTAGTTGAGGACACACATCACGAGTAAGTTTCTGAGAATGCTTCTGTCTAGTTTTTATGGGAAGATATTTCCTTTTTCACCTGAGGCCGGAAAGCGCTCCAAATGTCCACTTCCAGATACTACAAAAGGAGTGATTCAAACCTGCTCTATGATAGGGAACGTTCAACTCTGTGTCCTGAATACAAACATCACAAAGATGTTTCTCAGAACGCTGCAGTCTGCAATTTGTATGAATTCCGGCTTCCAACGAAATCCTCCAAACTAGCCAAATATCCACTTGCAGATTCCACAAAAAGAGCGTTTCAAAACTTCTCTATGAAAAGAAAGGTTCTACTCCTTTAGTTGAGGACACACATCACGAGTAAGTTTCTGAGAATGCTTCTGTCTAGTTTTTATGGGAAGATATTTCCTTGTTCACCTTAGGCCGGAAAGCGCTCCAAATGTCCACTTACACACACTAGAAAAAGAGTGTTTCAAACCTGCTCTGTGAAAAGGAATGTTCAATTCTGTGACTTGAATGCAATCATCACAAAGAAGTTTCTGAGAATGCTGCTGTCTGCTTTTTATATGTAATCCCGTTTCCAACGAAATCCTCAAATCTAGCCAAATATCCACTTGCAGATTCCACAAAAAGAGTGTTTCAAAACTGTTCTGTCTAAAGAAATGTTCAACTGTGTTAGTTGAGGACACACATCAGAAACTAGTTTCTGAGAATGCTTCTGTCTAGTTGTTATGGGAAGATATTTCCTTTTCCAACGTAGGCCAGAAAGCGCTCCAAATGTCCACTTACACACACTACAAAAAGAGTGTTTCAAACCTGCTCTACCAAAGGGAATGTTCTACTCTGTGACTTGAATGCAAACATCCCAAAGAAGTTTCTGAGAATGCTTCTGTCTAGATTTGATCTGAACACAATCCCGTTTCCAACGAAATCCTCAGAGCTAGGCAAATATCCTCTTGCAGATTCCAGAAAAAGAGTGTTTCAAAACTGCTCCTTCAAAACGGTGGTTCAATTCTCTTAGTTGAGTACACACATCTCAAATAAGTTTCTGAGAATGCTTCTGCCTAGTTGTTACCGGAAGATATTTCCCTTTCCAACATAGGCCTGAAAGCGCTCCAAATGTCCACTTCCAGATACTACAAAAAGAGTGTTTCAAACCTGCTCTACCAAAGGGAATGTTCTACTCTGTGACTTGAATGCAAACATCCCAAAGAAGTTTCTGAGAATGCTTTCTGTCTAGATTTTACCTGAAGACAATCCCGTTTCCCACGAAATCCTCAAAGCTATGCAAATATCCTCTTGCAGATTCTACAAAAAGAGTGTTTCAAAACTGCTCTATGAAAAGAAAGGTTCAACTCTGTCAGTAGAGGGCACACATCACAAACAAGTTTCTGAGAATGCTTGTGTCTAGTTGTTATGGGAAGATATTTCCTTTTTCAACATAGGCCTGAAAGCGCTCCAAATGTCCACTTCCAGATACTACAAAAGGAGTGATTCCAACCTGCTCTATGATAGGGAATGTTCAACTCTCTGTCCTGAATACAAACATCACAAAGATGTTTCTCAGAACGCTGCAGTCTGCAATTTGTATGAATTCCCGCTTCCAACGAAATCCTCAAAACTAGCCAAATATCCACTTGCAGATTCCACAAAAAGAGCATTTCAAAACTGCTCTATCAAAAGAAAGGTTCAACTTTGTTAGTTGAGTAGATACAGCATAAACAAGTTTCTGAGAATGCTTCTGTCCAGTTTTTATGGGAAGATATTTCCTTTTTCACCTTAGCCCTGAAAGCGCTCCAAAAGTCCAGTTCCAGATACTACAAAAGGAGTGTTTCAGGACTGCTCTATGAAAGGGAGTGTTCAACTTTTGACTTGAATGCAAACATCAGAAAGCAGTTTCTCAGAACGCTGCTGTGTGCTTTTTATATGTATTCCCGCTTCCAGCGAAATCCCCAAAGCTAGCCAAATATCCACTTGCAGATTCCAGAAAAAGAGTGTTTCAAAACTGCTCCTTCAAAACGGTGGTTCAATTCTCTTAGTTGAGTACACACATCTCAAATAAGTTTCTGAGAATGCTTCTGTCTAGTTGTTATGGGAAGATATTTCCTTTTCCAACATAGGCCTGAAAGCGCTCCAAATGTCCACTTCCAGATACTACAAAAGGAATGATTCAAACCTGCTCTATGATAGGGAATGTTCAACTCTGTGTCCTGAATACAAACATCACAAAGATGTTTCTCAGAACGCTGCAGTCTGCAATTTGTATGAATTCCCGCTTCCAACGAAATCCTCAAAACTAGCCAAATATCCACTTGCAGATTCCACAAAAAGAGCGTTTCAAAACTTCTCTATGAAAAGAAAGGTTCTACTCCTTTAGTTGAGGACACACAATACGAGTAAGTTTCTGAGAATGCTTCTGTCCAGTTTTTATGGGAAGATATTTCCTTTTTCACCTTAGCCCTGAAAGCGCTCCAAAAGTCCAGTTCCAGATACTACAAAAGGAGTGTTTCAGGACTGCTCTATGAAAGGGAGTGTTCAACTTTTGACTTGAATGCAAACATCAGAAAGCAGTTTCTCAGAACGCTGCTGTATGCTTTTTATATGTATTCCCGCCTCCAGCGAAATCCCCAAAGCTAGCCAAATATCCACTTGCAGATTCCAGAAAAAGAGTGTTTCAAAACTGCTCCTTCAAAACGGTGGTTCAATTCTCTTAGTTGAGTACACACATCTCAAATAAGTTTCTGAGAATGCTTCTGTCTAGTTGTTATGGGAAGATATTTCCTTTTCCAACATAGGCCTGAAAGCGCTCCAAATGTCCACTTCCAGATACTACAAAAGGAGTGATTCCAACCTGCTCTATGATAGGGAATGTTCAACTCTGTGTCCTGAATACAAACATCACAAAGATGTTTCTCAGAACGCTGCAGTCTGCAATTTGTATGAATTCCCGCTTCCAACGAAATCCTCAAAACTAGCCAAATATCCACTTGCAGATTCCACAAAAAGACCATTTCAAAACTGCTCTATCAAAAGAAAGGTTCAACTTTGTTAGTTGAGTAGATACAGCATAACCAAGTTTCTGAGAATGCTTCTGTCCAGTTTTTATGGGAAGATATTTCCTTTTTCACCTTAGCCCTGAAATCGCTCCAAAAGTCCAGTTCCAGATACTACAAAAGGGGTGTTTCAAGACTGCTCTATGAAAGGGAGTGTTCAACTTTTGACTTGAATGCAAACATCAGAAAGCAGTTTCTCAGAACGCTGCTGTGTGCTTTTTATATGTATTCCCGCTTCCAGCGAAATCCCCAAAGCTAGCCAAATATCCACTTGCAGATTCCAGAAAAAGAGAGTTTCAAAACTGCTCCTTCAAAACGGTGGTTCAATTCTCTTAGTTGAGTACACACATCTCAAATAAGTTTCTGAGAATGCTTGTGTCTAGTTTTTATGGGAAGATATTTCCTTTTTCAACATAGGCCTGAAAAAGCTCCAAATGTCCACTTCCAGATACTACAAAAGGAGTGATTCCAACATGCTCTATGATAGGGAATGTTCATCTCTGTGTCTTGAATACAAACATCACAAAGATGTTTCTCAGAACGCTGCAGTCTGCAATTTGTATGAATTCCCGCTTCCAACGAAATCCTCAAAACTAGCCAAATATACACTTCCAGATTCCAGAAAAAGAGCATTTCAAAACTGCTCTATCAAACGAAAGGTTCAACTTTGTTAGTTGAGTAGATACAGCATGGACAAGTTTCTGAGAATGCTTCTGTCCAGTTTTTATGGGAAGATATTTCCTTTTTCACCTTAGCCCTGAAAGCGCTCCAAATGTCCACTTCCAGATACTACAAAAGGGGTGTTTCAGGCCTGCTCTATGAAAGGGAGTGTTCAACTTTTGACTTGAATGCAAACATCAGAAAGCAGTTTCTCAGAACGCTGCTGTGTGCTTTTTATATGTATTCCCGCTTCCAGCGAAATCCCCAAAGCTAGCCAAATATCCACTTGCAGATTCCAGAAAACGAGTGTTTCAAAACTGCTCCGTCAAAACGGTGGCTCAATTCTCCTAGTTGAGTACACACATCTCAAATAGGTTTCTGAGAATGCTTCTGTCTAGCTGTTATGGGAGGATATTTCCTTTTCCAACATAGGCCTGAAAGCGCTCCAAACGTCCACTTCCAGATACGACAAAAGGAGTGATTCCAACCTGCTCTGTGATAGGGAATGTTCAACTCTGTGTCCTGAATACAAACATCACAAAGATGTTTCTCAGAACGCTGCAGTCTGCAATTTGTATGAATTCCCGATTCCAACGAAATCCTCAAAACTAGCCAAATATCCACTTGCAGATTCCACAAAAAGAGCGTTTCAAAACTTCTCTATGAAAAGAAAGGTTCTACTCCTTTAGTTGAGGACACCCATCACGAGTAAGTTTCTGAGAATGCTTCTGTCTAGTTTTTATGGGAAGATATTTCCTTTTTCACCTGAGGCCGGAAAGCGCTCCAAATGTCCACTTACAGACACTACAAAAGAGTGTTTCAAACCTGCTCTGTGAAACGGAATATTCAGTTCTGTGACTTGAATGCAATCACCACAAAGAAGTTTCTGAGAATGCTGCTGTCTGCTTTTTATACGTAATCCCGTTTCCAACGAAATCCTCAAATCTAGCCAAATATCCACTTGCAGATTCCTCAAAAAGAGTGTTTCAAAACTGGTCTGTCAAAAGAAAGGTTCAACTCTGTTAGTTGAGGACCCACATCAGAAACTGGTTTCTGAGAATGCTTCTGTCTAGTTGTTATGGGAAGATATTTCCTTTTCCAACATAGGCCTGAAAGCGCTCCAAATGTCCACTTCCAGATACTACAAAAAGAGTGTTTCAAACCTGCTCTACCAAAGGGAATGTTCTACTCTGTGACTTGAATGCAAACATCCCAAAGAAGTTTCTGAGAATGCTTCTGTCTAGATTTTACCTGAAGACAATCCCGTTTCCCACGAAATCCTCAAAGCTATGCAAATATCCTCTTGCAGATTCTACAAAAAGAGTGTTTCAAAACTGCTCTATGAAAAGAAAGGTTCAACTCTGTCAGTAGAGGGCACACATCACAAACAAGTTTCTGAGAATGCTTGTGTCTAGTTGTTATGGGAAGATATTTCCTTTTTCAACATAGGCCTGAAAGCGCTCCAAATGTCCACTTCCAGATACTACAAAAGGAGTGATTCCAACCTGCTCTATGATAGGGAATGTTCAACTCTCTGTCCTGAATACAAACATCACAAAGATGTTTCTCAGAACGCTGCAGTCTGCAATTTGTATGAATTCCCGCTTCCAGCGAAATCCTCAAAACTAGCCAAATATCCACTTGCAGATTCCACAAAAAGAGCATTTCAAAACTGCTCTATCAAAAGAAAGGTTCAACTTTGTTAGTTGAGTAGATACAGCATAAACAAGTTTCTGAGAATGCTTCTGTCCAGTTTTTATGGGAAGATATTTCCTTTTTCACCTTAGCCCTGAAAGCGCTCCAAATGTCCAGTTCCCGATACTACAAAAGGGGTGTTTCAAGACTGCTCTATGAAAGGGAGTGTTCAACTTTTGACTTGAATGCAAACATCAGAAAGCAGTTTCTCAGAACGCTGCTGTGTGCTTTTTATATGTATTCCCGCTTCCAGCGAAATCCCCAAAGCTAGCCAAATATCCACTTGCAGATTCCAGAAAAAGAGCGTTTCAAAACTGCTCCTTGAAAACGGTGGTTCAATTCTCTTAGTTGAGTACACACATCAAAAATAAGTTTCTGAGAATGCTTGTGTCTAGTTGTTATGGGAAGATATTTCCTTTTTCAACATAGGCCTGAAAGCGCTCCAAATGTCCACTTCCAGATACTACAAAAGGAGTGATTCCAACCTGCTCTATGATAGGGAATGTTCAACTCTGTGTCCTGAATACAAGCATCACAAAGATGTTTCTCAGAACGCTGTAGTCTGCAATTTGTATGAATTCCCGCTTCCAACGAAATCCTCCAAACTAGCCAAATATCCACTTGCAGATTCCACAAAAAGAGCGTTTCAAAACTTCTCTATGAAAAGAAAGGTTCTACTCCTTTAGTTGAGGACACACATCACGAGTAAGTTTCTGAGAATGCTTCTGTCTAGTTTTTATGGGAAGATATTTCCTTTTTCACCTTAGGCCGGAAAGCACTCCAAATGTCCACCTACACACACTACAAAAAGAGTGTTTCAAACCTGCTCTGTGAAAGGGAATGTTCAATTCTGTGACTTGAATGCAATCATCACAAAGAACTTTCTGAGAATGCTGCTGTCTGCTTTTTATATGTAATCCCGTTTCCAACGAAATCCTCAAATCTAGCTAAATAGCCACTTGCAGATTCCACAAAAAGAGTGTTTCAAAACTGTTCTGTCTAAAGAAAAGTTCAACTGTGTTAGCTGAGGACACACATCAGAAACTAGTTTCTGAGAATGCTTCTGTCTAGTTGTTATGGGAAGATATTTCCTTTTCCAACGTAGGCCTGAAAGCGCTCCAAATGTCCACTTCCAGATACTACAAAAAGAGTGTTTCAAACCTGCTCTACCAAAGGGAATGTTCTACTCTGTGACTGGAATGCAAGCATCCCAAAGAAGTTTCTGAGAATGCTTCTATCTAGATTTGATCTGAAGACAATCCGGTTTCCAACGAAATCCTCAAAGCTAGGCAAATATACTCTTGCAGATTCCAGAAAAAGAGTGTTTCAAAACTGCTCCTTCAAAAGGGTGGTTCAATTCTGTTAGTTGAGTACAAACATCTCAAATAAGTTTCTGAGAATGCTTCTGCCTAGTTGTTACGGGAAGATATTTCCCTTTCCAACATGGGCCATAATGCGCTCCAAATGTCCACTTCCAGATACTACAAAAAGAGTGTTTCAAACCTGCTCTACCAAAGGGAATGTTCTACTCTGTGACTTGAATGCAAACATCCCAAAGAAGTTTCTGAGAACGCTCCTGTCTAGATTTTACCTGAAGACAATCCCGTTTCCCACGAAATCCTCAAAGCTATGGAAATATCCTCTTGCAGATTCTACAAAAAGAGTGTTTCAAAACTGCTCTATGAAAAGAAAGGTTAAACTCTGTCAGTAGAGGGCACACATCACAAACAAGTTTCTGAGAATGCTTGTGTCTACTTGTTATGGGAAGATATTTCCTTTTTCAACATAGGCCTGAAAGCGCTCCAAATGTCCACTTCCAGATACTACAAAAGGAGTGATTCCAACCTGCTCTATGATAGGGAATGTTCAACTCTGTGTCCTGAATACAAACATCACAAAGATGTTTCTCAGAACGCTGCAGTCTGCAATTTGTATGAATTCCCGCTTCCAAAGAAATCCTCAAAACTAACCAAATATCCACTTGCAGACTCCACAAAAAGAGCATTTCAAAACTGCTCTATCAAAAGAAAGGTTCAACTTTGTTAGCTGAGTAGATACAGCATAAACAAGTTTCTGAGAATGCTTCTGTCCAGTTTTTATGGGAAGATATTTCCTTTTTCACCTTAGCCCTGAAAGCACTCCAAATGTCCACTTCCAGATACCACAAAAGGGGAGTTTCAAGACTGCTCTATGAAAGGGAGTGTTCAACTTTTGACTTGAATGCGAACATCAGAAAGAAGTTTCTCAGAACGCTGCTGTGTGCTTTTTATATGTATTCCCGCTTCCAGCGAAATCCCCCAAAGCTAGCCAAATATCCACTTGCAGATTCCAGAAAAAGAGTGTTTCAAAACTGCTCCTTCAAAACGGTGGTTCAATTCTCTTAGTTGAGTACACACATCTCAAATAAGTTTCTGAGAATGCTTGTGTCTAGTTGTTATGGGAAGATATTTCCTTTTTCAACATAGGCCTGAAAGCGCTCCAAATGTCCACTTCCAGATACTACAAAAGGAGTGATTCCAACCTGCTCTATGATAGGGAATGTTCAACTCTGTGTCCTGAATACAAGCATCACAAAGTTGTTTCTCAGAACGCTGCAGTCTGCAATTTGTATGAATTCCCGCTTCCAGCGAAATCCTCAAAACTAGCCAAATATCCACTTGCAGATTCCACAAAAAGAGCATTTCAAAACTGCTCTATCAAAAGAAAGGTTCAACTTTGTTAGTTGAGTAGATACAGCATAAACAAGTTTCTGAGAATGCTTCTGTCCAGTTTTTATGGGAAGATATTTCCTTTTTCACCTTAGCCCTGAAAGCGCTCCAAATTTCCAGTTCCAGATACTACAAAAGGGGTGTTTCAAGACTGCTCTATGAAAGGGAGTGTTCAACTTTTGACTTGAATGCAAACATCAGAAAGCAGTTTCTCAGAACGCTGCTGTGTGCTTTTTATATGTATTCCCGCTTCCAGCGAAATCCCCAAAGCTAGCCAAATATCCACTTGCAGATTCCAGAAAAAGAGTGTTTCAAAACTGCTCCTTCAAAACGGTGCTTCAATTCTCTTAGTTGAGTACACACATCTCAAATAAGTTTCTGAGAATGCTTCTGCCTAGTTGTTACGGGAAGATATTTCCCTTTCCAACATAGGCCTGAAAGCGCTCCAAATGTCCACTTCCAGATACTACAAAAAGAGTGTTTCAAACCTGCTCTACCAAAGGGAATGTTCTACTCTGTGACTTGAATGCAAACATCCCAAGGAAGTTTCTGAGAATGCTTCTGTCTAGATTTTACCTGAAGACAATCCCGTTTCCCACGAAATCCTCAAAGCTATGCAAATATCCTCTTGCAGATTCTACAAAAAGAGTGTTTCAAAACTGCTCTATGAAAAGAAAGGTTCAACTCTGTCAGTAGAGGGCACACATCACAAACAAGTTTCTGAGAATGCTTGTGTCTAGTTGTTATGGGAAGATATTTCCTTTTTCAACATAGGCCTGAAAGCGCTCCAAATGTCCACTTCCAGATACTACAAAAGGAGTGATTCCAACCTGCTCTATGATAGGGAATGTTCAACTCTCTGTCCTGAATACAAACATCACAAAGATGTTTCTCAGAACGCTGCAGTCTGCAATTTGTATGAATTCCAGCTTCCAACGAAATCCTCAAAACTAGCCAAATATCCACTTGCAGATTCCACAAAAAGAGCATTTCAAAACTGCTCTATCAAAAGAAAGGTTCAACTTTGTTAGTTGAGTAGATACAGCATAAACAAGTTTCTGAGAATGCTTCTGTCCAGTTTTTATGGGAAGATATTTCCTTTTTCACCTTAGCCCTGAAAGCGCTCCAAAAGTCCAGTTCCAGATACTACAAAAGGAGTGTTTCAGGACTGCTCTATGAAAGGGAGTGTTCAACTTTTGACTTGAATGCAAACATCAGAAAGCAGTTTCTCAGAACGCTGCTGTGTGCTTTTTATATGTATTCCCGCTTCCAGCGAAATCCCCAAAGCTAGCCAAATATCCACTTGCAGATTCCAGAATAAGAGTGTTTCAAAACTGCTCCTTCAAAACGGTGGTTCAATTCTCTTAGTTGAGTACACACATCTCAAATAAGTTTCTGAGAATGCTTGTGTCTAGCTGTTATGGGAAGATATTTCCTTTTTCAACATAGGCCTGAAAGCGCTCCAAATGTCCACTTCCAGATACTACAAAAGGAGTGATTCCAACATGCTCTATGATAGGGAATGTTCATCTCTGTGTCTTCAATACAAACATCACAAAGATGTTTCTCAGAACGCTGCAGTCTGCAATTTGTATGAATTCCCGCTTCCAACGAAATCCTCAAAACTAGCCAAATATCCACTTGCAGATTCCACAAAAAGAGCGTTTCAAAACTTCTCTATGAAAAGAAAGGTTCTACTCCTTTAGTTGAGGACACACATCACGAGTAAGTTCCTGAGAATGCTTCTCTCTAGTTTTTATGGGAAGATATGTCCTTTTTCACCTTAGGCCGGAAAGCGCTCCAAATGTCCACTTACACACACTACAAAAAGAGTGTTTCAAACCTGCTCTATGAAAGGGAATGTTCAATTCTGTGACTTGAATACAATCATCACAAAGAACTTTCTGAGAATGCTGCTGACTGCTTTTTATATGTAATCCCGTTTCCAACGAAATCCTCAAATCTAGCCAAAATAGCCACTTGAAGGTTCCACAAAACGAGTGTATCAAAACTGTTCTGTCTAAAGAAAAGTTCAACTGTGTTAGTTGAGGACACACATCAGAAACTAGTTTCTGAGAATACTTCTGTCTAGTTGTTATGGGAAGATATTTCCTTTTCCAACGTAGGCCTGAAAGCGATCCAAATGTCCACTTCCATATACTAAAAAAAGAGTGTTTCAAACCTGCTCTACCAAAGGGAATGTTCTACTCTGTGACTTGAATGCAAACATCCCAAAGAAGTTTCTGAGAATGCTTCTGTCTAGATTTTATCTGAAGACAATCCCGTTTCCAACGAAATCCACAAAGCTAGGAAGATATACTCTTGCAGATTCCAGAAAAAGAGTGTTTCAAAACTGCTCCTTCAAAACGGTGGTTCAATTCTCTTAGTTGAGTACACACATCTCAAATAAGTTTCTGAGAATGCTTCTGCCTAGTTGTTACGGGAAGTATATTTCCCTTTCCAACATAGGCCTGAAAGCGCTCCAAATGTCCACTTCCAGATACTATAAAAAGAGTGTTTCAAACCTGCTCTACCAAAGGGAATGTTCTACTCTGTGACTTGAATGCAAACATCCCAAAGAAGTTTCTGAGAATGCTTCTGTCTAGATTTTACCTGAAGACAATCCCGTTTCCCACGAAATCCTCAAAGCTATGCAAATATCCTCTTGCAGATTCTACAAAAAGAGTGTTTCAAAACTGCTCTATGAAAAGAAAGGTTCAACTCTGTCAGTAGAGGGCACACATCACAAACAAGTTTCTGAGAATGCTTCTGCATAGTTGTTACGGGAAGATATTTCCCTTTCCAAAATAGGCCTGAAAGCGCTCCAAATGTCCACTTCCAGATACTACAAAAGGAGTGATTCCAACCTGCTCTATGATAGGGAATGTTCAACTCTCTGTCCTGAATACAAACATCACAAAGATGTTTCTCAGAACGCTGCAGTCTGCAATTTGTATGAATTCCCGCTTCCAACGAAATCCTCAAAACTAGCCAAATATCCACTTGCAGATTCCACAAAAAGACCATTTCAAAACTGCTCTATCAAAAGAAAGGTTCAACTTTGTTAGTTGAGTAGATACAGCATAACCAAGTTTCTGAGAATGCTTCTGTCCAGTTTTTATGGGAAGATATTTCCTTTTTCACCTTAGCCCTGAAATCGCTCCAAAAGTCCAGTTCCAGATACTACAAAAGGGGTGTTTCAAGACTGCTCTATGAAAGGGAGTGTTCAACTTTTGACTTGAATGCAAACATCAGAAAGCAGTTTCTCAGAACGCTGCTGTGTGCTTTTTATATGTATTCCCGCTTCCAGCGAAATCCCCAAAGCTAGCCAAATATCCACTTGCAGATTCCAGAAAAAGAGCGTTTCAAAACTGCTCCTTGAAAACGGTGGTTCAATTCTCTTAGTTGAGTACACACATCACAAATAAGTTTCTGAGAATGCTTGTGTCTAGTTGTTATGGGAAGATATTTCCTTTTTCAACATAGGCCTGAAAGCGCTCCAAATGTCCACTTCCAGATACTACAAAAGGAGTGATTCCAACCTGCTCTATGATAGGGAATGTTCAAATCTGTGTCCTGAATACAAACATCACAGAGATGTTTCTCAGAACGCTGCAGTCTGCAATTTGTATGAATTCCCGCTTCCAACGAAATCCTCAAAACTAGCCAAATATCCACTTGCAGATTCCACAAAAAGAGCGTTTCAAAACTTCTCTATGAAAAGAAAGGTTCTACTCCTTTACTTGAGTACACACATCACGAGTAAGTTTCTGAGAATGCTTCTGTCTAGTTTTTATGGGAAGATATTTCCTTTTTCACCTTAGGCCGGAAAGTGCTCCAAATGTCCACTTACACACACTACAAAAAGAGTGTTTCAAACCTGCTCTGTGAAAGGGAATGTTCAATTCTGTGACTTGAATGCAATCATCACAAAGAACTTTCTGAGAATGCTGCTGTCTGCTTTTTATATGTAATCCCGTTTCCAACGAAATCCTCAAATCTAGCCAAATAGCCACTTGCAGATTCCACAAAAAGAGTGTTTCAAAACTGTTCTGTCTAAAGAAATGTTCAACTGTGTTAGTTGAGGACACACATCAGAAACTAGTTTCTGAGAATGCTTCTGTCTAGTTGTTATGGGAAGATATTTCCTTTTCCAACGTAGGCCTGAATGCGCTCCAAATGTCCACTTACACACACTACAAAAAGAGTGTTTCAAACCTGCTCTACCAAAGGGAATGTTCTACTCTGTGACTTGAATGCAAACATCCCGAAGAAGTTTCTGAGAATGCTTCTGTCTAGATTTTATCTGAAGACAATCCCGTTTCCCACGAAATCCTCAAAGCTATGCAAATATCCTCTTGCAGATTCTACAAAAAGAGTGTTTCGAAACTGCTCTATGAAAAGAAAGGTTCAACTGTGTCAGTAGATTGCACACATCACAAACAAGTTTCTGAGAATGCTTCTGCCTAGTTGTTACGGGAAGATATTTCCCTTTCCAACATAGGCCTGAAAGCGCTCCAAATGTCCACTTCCAGATACTACAAAAAGAGTGTTTGAAACCTGCTCTACCAAAGGGAATGTTCTACTCTGTGACTTGAATGCAAACATCCCAAAGAAGTTTCTGAGAATGCTTCTGTCTAGATTTTACCTGAAGACAATCCCGTTTCCCACGAAATCCTCAAAGCTATGCAAATATCCTCTTGCAGATTCTACAAAAAGAGTGTTTCAAAACTGCTCTATGAAAAGAAAGGTTCAACTCTGTCAGTAGATGGCACACATCACAAACAAGTTTCTGAGAATGCTTGTGTCTAGTTGTTATGGGAAGATATTTCCTTTTTCAACATAGGCCTGAAAGCGCTCCAAATGTCCACTTCCAGATACTACAAAAGGAGTGATTCCAACCTGCTCTATGATAGGGAATGTTCAACTCTGTGTCCTGAATACAAACATCACAAAGATGTTTCTCAGAACGCTGCAGTCTGCAATTTGTATGAATTCCCGCTTCCAACGAAATCCTCAAATCTAGCCAAATATCCACTTGCAGATTCCACAAAAAGAGCATTTCAAAACTGCTCTATCAAAAGAAAGGTTCAACTTTGTTAGTAGAGTAGATACAGCATAAACAAGTTTCTGAGAATGCTTCTGTCCAGTTTTTATGGGAAGATATTTCCTTTTTCACCTTAGCCCTGAAAGCGCTCCAAAAGTCCAGTTCCAGATACTACAAAAGGAGTGTTTCAGGACTGCTCTATGAAAGGGAGTGTTCAACTTTTGACTTGAATGCAAACATCAGAAAGCAGTTTCTCAGAACGCTGCAGTCTGCAATTTGTATGAATTCCCGCTTCCAACGAAATCCTCAAAACTAGCCAAATATCCACTTGCAGATTCCACAAAAAGAGCGTTTCGAAACTTATCTATGAAAAGGAAGGTTCTACTCCTTTAGTTGAGGACACACATCACGAGTAAGTTTCTGAGAATGCTTCTGTCTAGTTTTTATGGGACGATATTTCTTTTTTCACCTTAGGCCGGAAAGCGCTCCAAATGTCCACTTACACACACTACAAAAAGAGTGTTTCAAACCTGCTCTGTGAAAGGGAATGTTCAATTCTGTGACTTGAATGCAATCATCACAAAGAACTTTCTGAGAATGCTGCTGTCTGCTTTTTATATGTAATCCCGTTTCCAACGAAATCCTCAAATCTAGCCCAATATCCACTTGCAGATTCCACAAAAAGAGTGTTTCAAAACTGTTCTCTCTAAAGAAAAGTTCAACTGTGTTAGTTGAGGACACACATCAGAAACTAGTTTCTGAGAATGCTTGTGTCTAGTTGTTATGGGAAGATATTTCCTTTTTCAACATAGGCCTGAAAGCGCTCCAAATGTCCACTTCCAGATACTACAAAAGGAGTGATTCCAACATGCTCTATGATAGGGAATGTTCATCTCTGTGTCTTGAATACAAACATTTCAAAGATGTTTCTCAGAACGCTGCAGTCTGCAATTTGTATGAATTCCCGCTTCCAACGAAATCCTCAAAACTAGCCAAATATCCACTTGGAGATTCCACAAAAAGAGCGTTTCAAAACTTCTCTATGAATAGAAAGGTTCTACTCCTTTAGTTGAGGACACACATCACGAGTAAGTTTCTGAGAATGCTTCTGTCTAGTTATTATGGGAAGATATGTCCTTTTTCACCTTAGGCCGGAAAGCGCTCCAAATGTCCACTTACACACACTACAAAAAGAGTGTTTCAAACCTGCTCTATGAAAGGGAATGTTCAATTCTGTGACTTGAATGCAATCATCACAAAGAACTTTCTGAGAATGCTGCTGACTGCTTTTTATATGTAATCCCGTTTCCAACGAAATCCTCAAATCTAGCCCAATATCCACTTGCAGATTCCACAAAAAGAGTGTTTCAAAACTGTTCTGTATAAAGAAATGTACAACTGTGTTAGTTGAGGACACACATCAGAAACTAGTTTCTGAGAATGCTTCTATCTAGTTGTTATGGGAAGATATTTCCTTTTCCAACGTAGGCCTGAAAGCGCTCAAAATGTCCACTTCCATATACTAAAAAAAGAGTGTTTCAAACCTGCTCTACCAAAGGGAATGTTCTACTCTGTGACTTGAATGCAAACATCCCAAAGAAGTTTCTGAGAATGCTTCTGTCTAGATTTTATCTGAAGACAATCCCGTTTCCAACGAAATCCTCAAGGCTAGGCAAATATACTCTTGCAGATTACAGAAAAAGAGTGTTTCAAAACGGCTCCTTCAAAACGGTGGTTCAATTCTCTTAGTTGAGTACACACATCTCAAATAAGTTTCTGAGAATGCTTCTGCCTAGTTGTTACGGGAAGATATTTCCCTTTCCAACATGGGCCTGAAAGCGCTCCAAATGTCCACTTCCAGATACTACAAAAGGAGTGATTCAAACCTGCTCTACCAAAGGGAATGTTCTGCTCTGTGACTTGAATGCAAACATCCCAAAGAAGTTTCTGAGAATGCTTCTGTCTAGATTTTACCTGAAGACAATCCCGTTTCCCACGAAATCCTCAAAGCTATGCAAATATCCTCTTGCAGATTCTACAAAAAGAGTGTTTCAAAACTGCTCTATGAAAAGAAAGGTTCAACTCTGTCAGTAGAGGGCACACATCACAAACAAGTTTCTGAGAATGCTTGTGTCTAGTTGTTATGGGAAGATATTTCCTTTTTCAACATAGGCCTGAAAGCGCTCCAAATGTCCACTTCCAGATACTACAAAAGGAGTGATTCCAACCTGCTCTATGATAGGGAATGTTCAACTCTCTGTCCTGAATACAAACATCACAAAGATGTTTCTCAGAACGCTGCAGTCTGCAATTTGTATGAATTCCCGCTTCCAGCGAAATCCTCAAAACTAGCCAAATATCCACTTGCAGATTCCACAAAAAGAGCATTTCAAAACTGCTCTATCAAAAGAAAGGTTCAACTTTGTTAGTTGAGTAGATACAGCATAAACAAGTTTCTGAGAATGCTTCTGTCCAGTTTTTATGGGAAGATATTTCCTTTTTCACCTTAGCCCTGAAATCGCTCCAAAAGTCCAGTTCCAGATACTACAAAAGGGGTGTTTCAAGACTGCTCTATGAAAGGGAGTGTTCAACTTTTGACTTGAATGCAAACATCAGAAAGCAGTTTCTCAGAACGCTGCTGTGTGCTTTTTATATGTATTCCCGCTTCCAGCGAAATCCCCAAAGCTAGCCTAATATCCACTTGCAGATTCCAGAAAACGAGTGTTTCAAAACTGCTCCTTCAAAACGGTGGTTCAATTCTCCTAGTTGAGTACACACATCTCAAATAGGTTTCTGAGAATGCTTCTGTCTAGCTGTTATGGGAGGATATTTCCTTTTCCAACATAGTCCTGAAAGCGCTCCAAACGTCCACTTCCAGATATGACAAAAGCAGTGATTCCAACCTGCTCTATGACAGGGAATGTTCAACTCTGTGTCCTGAATACAAACATCACAAAGACGTTTCTCAGAACGCTGCAGTCTGCAATTTGTATGAATTCCCGCTTCCAACGAAATCCTCCAAACTAGCCAAATATCCACTTGCAGATTCCACAAAAAGAGCGTTTCAAAACTTCTCTATGAAAAGAAAGGTTCTACTCCTTTAATTGAGGACACACATCACGAGTAAGTTTCTGAGAATGCTTCTGTCTAGTTTTTATGGGAAGATATTTCCTTTTTCACCTTAGCCCGGAAAGTGCTCCAAATGTCCACTTACACACACTACAAAAAGAGTGTTTCAAACCTGCTCTGTGAAAGGGAATGTTCAATTCTGTGACTTGAATGCAATCATCACAAAGAACGTTCTGAGAATGCTGCTGTCTGCTTTTTATATGTAATCCCGTTTCCAACGAAATCCTCAAATCTAGCCAAATAGCCACTTGCAGATTCCACAAAAAGAGTGTTTCAAAACTGTTCTGTCTAAAGAAATGTTCAACTGTGTTAGTTGAGGACACACATCAGAAACTAGTTTCTGAGAATGCTTCTGTCTAGTTTTTATGGGAAGATATTTCCTTGTTCACCTTAGGCCGGAAAACGCTCCAAATGTCCACTTACACACACTACAAAAAGAGTGTTTCAAACCTGCTCTACCAAAGGGAATGTTCTACTCTGTGACTTGAATGCAAACATCCCAAAGAAGTTTCTGAGAATGCTTCTGTCTAGATTTGATCTGAAGACAATCCCGTTTCCAACGAAATCCTCAAAGCTAGGCAAATATCCTCTTGCAGATTCCAGAAAAAAAGTGTTTCAAAACTGCTCCTTCAAAACGGTGGTTCAATTCTCTTAGTTGAGTACACACATCTCAAATAAGTTTCTGGGAATGCTTCTGCCTAGTTGTTACGGGAAGATATTTCCCTTTCCAACATGGGCCTGAAAGCGCTCCAAATGTCCACTTCCAGATACTACAAAAAGAGGGTTTCAAACCTGCTCTACCAAAGGGAATGTTCTACTCTGTGACTTGAATGCAAACATCCCAAAGAAGTTTCTGAGAATGCTTCTGTCTAGATTTTACCTGAAGACAATCCCGTTTCCCACGAAATCCTCAAAGCTATGCAAATATCCTCTTGCAGATTCTACAAAAAGAGTGTCTCAAAACTGCTCTATGAAAAGAAAGGTTCAACTCTGTCAGTAGAGGGCACACATCACAAACAAGTTTCTGAGAATGCTTGTGTCTAGTTTTTATGGGAAGATATTTCCTTTTTCAACATAGGCCTGAAAGCGCTCCAAATGTCCACTTCCAGATACTACAAAAGGAGTGATTCCAACCTGCTCTATGATAGGGAATGTTCAACTCTCTGTCCTGAATACAAACATCACAAAGATGTTTCTCAGAACGCTGCAGTCTGCAATTTGTATGAATTCCCGCTTCCAACGAAATCCTCAAAACTAGCCAAATATCCACTTGGAGATTCCACAAAAAGAGCGTTTCAAAACTTCTCTATGAATAGAAAGGTTCTACTCCTTTAGTTGAGGACACACATCACGAGTAAGTTTCTGAGAATGCTTCTGTCTAGTTTTTATGGGAAGATATTTCCTTTTTCACCTTAGGCCGGAAAGCGCTCCAAATGTCCACTTACACACACTACAAAAAGAGTGTTTCAAACCTGCTCTGTGAAAGGGAATGTTCAATTCTGTGACTTGAATGCAATCATCACAAAGAACTTTCTGAGAATGCTGCTGTCTGCTTTTTATATGTAATCCCGTTTCCAACGAAATCCTCAAATCTAGCCAAATATCCACTTGCAGATTCCACAAAAAGAGTGTTTCAAAACTGTTCTGTCTAAAGAAAAGTTCAACTGTGTTAGTTGAGGACACACATCAGAAACTAGTTTCTGAGAATGCTTCTGTCTAGTTGTTATGGGAAGATATTTCCTTTTCCAACGTAGGCCTGAAAGCGCTCCAAATGTCCACTTCCATATACTAAAAAAAGAGTGTTTCAAACCTGCTCTACCAAAGGGAATGTTCTACTCTGTGACTTGAATCCAAACATCCCAAAGAAGTTTCTGAGAATGCTTCTGTCTAGATTTGATCTGAAGACAATCCGGTTTCCAACGAAATCCTCAAGGCTAGGCAAATATCCTCTTGCAGATTCCAGAAAAAGAGTGTTTCAAAACTGCTCCTTCAAAACGGTGGTTCAATTCTCTTAGTTGAGTACACACATCTCAAATAAGTTTCTGAGAATGCTTCTGCCTAGTTGTTACGGGAAGATATTTCCCTTTCCAACATAGGCCTGAAAGCGCTCCAAATGTCCACTTCCAGATACTACAAAAAGAGTGTTTCAAACCTGCTCTACCAAAGGGAATGTTCTACTCTGTGACTTGAATGCAAACATCCCAAAGAAGTTTCTGAGAATGCTTCTGTCTAGATTTTACCTGAAGACAATCCCGTTTCCCGCGAAATCCTCAAAGCTATGCAAATATCCTCTTGCAGATTCTACAAAAAGAGTGTTTCAAAACTGCTCTATGAAAAGAAAGGTTCAACTCTGTCAGTAGAGGGCACACATCACAAACAAGTTTCTGAGGATGCTTGTGTCTAGTTGTTATGGGAAGATATTTCCTTTTTCAACATAGGCCTGAAAGCGCTCCAAATGTCCACTTCCAGATACTACAAAAGGAGTGATTCCAACCTGCTCTATGATAGGGAATGTTCATCACTGTGTCCTGAATACAAACATCACAAAGATGTTTCTCAGAACGCTGCAGTCTGCAATTTGTATGAATTCCCGCTTCCAACGAAATCCTCAAAACTAGCCAAATATCCACTTGGAGATTCCACAAAAACAGCGTTTCAAAACTTCTCTATGAATAGAAAGGTTCTACTCCTTTAGTTGAGGACACACATCACGAGTAAGTTTCTGAGAATGCTTCTGTCTAGTTTTTATGGGAAGATATTTCCTTTTTCACCTTAGGCCGGAAAGCGCTCCAAATGTCCACTTACACACACTACAAAAAGAGTGTTTCAAACCTGCTCTGTGAAAGGGAATGTTCAATTCTGTGACTTGAATGCAATCATCACAAAGAACTTTCTGAGAATGCTGCTGACTGCTTTTTATATGTAATCCTATTTCCAACGAAATCCTCAAATCTAGCCAAATATCCACTTGCAGATTCCACCAAAAGAGTGTTTCAAAACTGTTCTGTCTAAAGAAATGTACAACTGTGTTAGTTGAGGACACACATCAGAAACTAGTTTCTGAGAATGCTTCTGTCTAGTTGTTATTGGGAAGATATTTCCTTTTCCAACGTAGGCCTGAAAGCGCTCCAAATGTCCACTTCCAGATACTACAAAAAGAGTGCTTCAAACCTGCTCTACCAAAGGGAATGTTCTACTCTGTGACTTGAATGCAAACATCCCAAAGAAGATTCTTAGAATGCTTCTGTCTAGATTTTATCTGAAGACAATCCCGTTTCCAACGAAATCTTCAAGGCTAGGCAAATATACTCTTGCAGATTCCAGAAAAAGAGTGTTTCAAATCTGCTCCTTCAAAACGGTGGTTCAATTCTCTTAGTTGAGTACACACATCTCAAATAAGTTTCTGAGAATGCTTCTGCCTAGTTGTTACGGGAAGATATTTCCCTTTCCAAAATAGGCCTGAAAGCGCTCCAAATGTCCACTTCCAGATACTACAAAAAGAGGGTTTCAAACCTGCTCTACCAAAGGGAATGTTCTACTCTGTGACTTGAATGCAAACATCCCAAAGAATTTTCTGAGAATGCTTCTGTCTAGATTTTACCTGAAGACAATCCCGTTTCCAACGAAATCCTCAAAGCTATGCAAATATCCTCTTGCAGATTCTACAAAAAGAGTGTTTCGAAACTGCTCTATGAAAAGAAAGGTTCAACTCTGTCATTAGAGGGCACACATCACAAACAAGTTTCTGAGAATGCTTCTGTCTAGTTGTTTTGGGAAGATATTTCCTTTTTCAACATAGGCCTGAAAGCGCTCCAAATGTCCACTTCCAGATACTACAAAAGGAGTGATTCCAACCTGCTCTACGATAGGGAATGTCCAACTCTGTGTCCTGAATACAAACATCACCAAGTTGTTTCTCAGAACGCTGCAGTCTGCAATTTGTATGAATTCCCGCTTCCAACGAAATCCTCAAAACTAGCCAAATATCCACTTGGAGATTCCACAAAAAGAGCGTTTCAAAACTTCTCTATGAATAGAAAGGTTCTACTCCTTTAGTTGAGGACACACATCACGAGTAAGTTTCTGAGAATGCTTCTGTCTAGTTTTTATGGGAAGATATTTCCTTTTTCACCTTAGGCCGGAAAGCGCTCCAAATGTCCACTTACACACACTACAAAAAGAGTGTTTCAAACCTGCTCTGTGAAAGGGAATGTTCAATTCTGTGACTTGAATGCAATCATCACAAAGAACTTTCTGAGAATGCTGCTGTCTGCTTTTTATATGTAATCCCGTTTCCAACGAAATCCTCAAATCTAGCCAAATATCCACTTGCAGATTCCACAAAAAGAGTGTTTCAAAACTGTTCTGTCTAAAGAAATGTACAACTGTGTTAGTTGAGGACACACATCAGAAACTAGTTTCTGAGAATGCTTCTGTCTAGTTGTTATGGGAAGATATTTCCTTTTCCAATGTAGGCCTGAAAGCGCTCCAAATGTCCACTTACACACACTACAAAAAGAGTGTTTCAAACCTGCTCTACCAAAGGGAATATTCTACTCTGTGACTTGAATGCAAACATCCCAAAGAAGTTTCTGAGAATGCTTCTGTCTAGATTTCACCTGAAGACAATCCCGTTTCCCACGAAATCCTCAAAGCTATGCAAATATCCTCTTGCAGATTCTACAAAAAGAGTGTTTCGAAAGTGCTCTATGAAAAGAAAGGTTCAACTGTGTCAGTAGAGGGCACACATCACAAACAAGTTTCTGAGAATGCTTCTGTCTAGTTGTTATGGGAAGATATTTCCTTTTCCAACGTAGGCCTGAGAGCGCTCCAAATGTCCACTTACACACACTACAAAAAGAGTGTTTCAAACCTGCTCTACCAAAGTGAATGTTCTACTCTGTGACTTGAATGCAAACATCCCAAAGAAGTTTCTGAGAATGCTTCTGTCTAGATTTGATCTGAACACAATCCCGATTCCAACGAAATCCTCAAAGCTAGGCAAATATCCTCTTGCAGATTCCAGAAAAAGAGTGTTTCAAAACTGCTCCTTCAAAACGGTGGTTCAATTCTCTTAGTTGAGTACACACATCTCAAATAAGTTTCTGAGAATGCTTGTGTCTAGTTGTTATGGGAAGATATTTCCTTTTTCAACATAGGCCTGAAAGCGCTCCAAATGTCCACTTCCAGATACTACAAAAGGAGTGATTCCAACCTGCTCTATGATAGGGAATGTTCATCTCTGTGTCCTGAATACAAACATCACAAAGATGTTTCTCAGAACGCTGCAGTCTGCAATTTGTATGAATTCCCGCTTCCAACGAAATCCTCCAAACTAGCCAAATATCCACTTGCAGATTCCACAAAAAGAGCGTTTCAAAACTTATCTATGAAAACAAAGGTTCTACTCCTTTAGTTGAGGACACACATCACGAGTAAGTTTCTGAGAGTGCTTCTGTCTAGTTTTTATGGGAAGATATTTCCTTTTTCACCTTAGGCCGGAATGCGCTCCAAATGTCCACTTACACACACTACAAAAAGAGTGTTTCAAACCTGCTCTGTGAAAGGGAATGTTCAATTCTGTGACTTGAATGCAATCATCCCAAAGAACTTTCTGAGAATGCTGCTGTCTGCTTTTTATATGTAATCCCGTTTCCAACGAAATCCTCAAATCTAGCCCAATATCCACTTGCAGATTCCACAAAAAGAGTGTTTCAAAACTGTTCTGTCTAAAGAAATGTACAACTGTGTTAGTTGAGGACACACATCAGAAACTAGTTTCTGAGAATGCTTCTGTCTAGTTGTTATGGGAAGATATTTCCTTTTCCAACGTAGGCCTGAAAGCGCTCCAAATGTCCACTTCCATATACTAAAAAAAGAGTGTTTCAAACCTGCTCTACCAAAGGGAATGTTCTACTCTGTGACTTGAATGCAACCATCCCAAAGAAGTTTCTGAGAATGCTTCTGTCTAGATTTTATCTGAAGAGAATCCCGTTTCCAACGAAATTCTCACGGCTAGGCAAATATACTCTTGCAGATTCCAGAAAAAGAGTGTTTCAAAACTGCTCCTTCAAAACGTTGGTTAAATTCTCTTAGTTGAGTACACACATCTCAAATAAGTTTCTGAGAATGCTTCTGCCTAGTTGTTACGGGAAGATATTTCCCTTTCCAACGTGGGCCTGAAAGCGCTCCAAATGTCCACTTCCAGATACTACAAAAGGAGGGTTTCAAACCTGCTCTACCAAAGGGAATGTTCTACTCTGTGACTTGAATGCAAACATCCCAAAGGAGTTTCTGAGAATGCTTCTGTCTAGATTTTACCTGAAGACAATCCCGTTTAACACGAAATCCTCAAAGCTATGCAAATATCCTCTTGCAGATTCTACAAAAAGAGTGTTTCAAAACTACTCTATGAAAAGAAAGGTTCAACTCTGTCAGTAGAGGGCACACATCACAAACAAGTTTCTGAGAATGCTTCTGCCTAGTTGTTATGGGAAGATATTTCCTTTTTCAACATAGGCCTGAAAGCGCTCCAAATGTCCACTTCCAGATACTACAAAAGTAGTGATTCCAACCTGCTCTATGATAGGGAATGTTCAACTCTGTGTCCTGAATACAAACATCACAAAGATGTTTCTCAGAACACTGTAGTCTGCAATTTGTATGAATTCCCGCTTCCAACGAAATCCTCAAACCTAGCCAAATATCCACTTGCAGATTCCACAAAAAGAGCATTTCAAAACTGCTCTATCAAAAGAAAGGTTCAACTTTGTTAGTTGAGTAGATACAGCATAAACAAGTTTCTGAGAATGCTTCTGTCCAGTTTTTATGGGAAGATATTTCCTTTTTCACCTTAGCCCTGAAAGCGCTCCAAATGTCCAGTTCCAGATACTACACAAGGGGTGTTTCAAGACTGCTCTATGAAAGGGAGTGTTCAACTTTTGACTTGAAAGCAAACATCAGAAAGCAATTTCTCAGAACGCTGCTGTGTGCTTTTTATATGTATTCCCGCTTCCAGCGAAATCCCCAAAGCTAGCCAAATATCCACTTGCAGATTCCAGAAAAAGAGAGTTTCAAAACTGCTCCTTCAAAACGGTGGTTCAATTCTCTTAGTTGAGTACACACATCTCAAATAAGTTTCTGAGAATGCTTCTGTCTAGTTGTTATGGGAAGATATTTCCTTTTCCAACATAGGCCTGAAAGCGCTCCAAATGTCCACTTCCAGATACTACAAAAGGAGTGATTCCAACCTGCTCTATGATAGGGAATGTTCAACTCTGTGTCCTGAATACAAACATCACAAAGATGTTTCTCAGAACGCTGCAGTCTGCAATTTGTATGAATTCCCGCTTCCAACGAAATCCTCAAAACTAGCCAAATATCCACTTGGAGATTCCACAAAAAGAGCGTTTCAAAACTTCTCTATGAATAGAAAGGTTCTACTACTTTAGTTGAGGACACACATCACGAGTAAGTTTCTGAGAATGCTTCTGTCTAGTTTTTATGGGAAGATATTTCCTTGTTCACCTTAGGCTGGAAAGCGCTCCAAATGTCCACTTACACACACTAGAAAAAGAGTGTTTCAAACCTTCTCTGTGAAAGGGAATGTTCAATTCTGTGACTTGAATGCAATCATCACAAAGAAGTTTCTGAGAATGCTGCTGTCTGCTTTTTATATGTAATCCCGTTTCCATCGAAATCCTCAAATCTAGCCAAATATCCACTTGCATGTTCCTCAAAAAGAGTGTTTCAAAACTGTTCTGCCAAAAGAAAGGTTCAACTCTGTTAGTTGAGGACACACATCAGAAACTAGTTTCTGAGAAAGCTTCTGTCTAGTTGTTATGGGAAGATATTTCCTTTTCCAACGTAGGCCTGAAAGCGCTCCAAATGTCCACTTCCAGATACTACAAAAAGAGTGTTTCAAACCTGCTCTACCAAAGGGAATGTTCTACTCTGTGACTTGAATGCAAACATCACAAAGAAGTTTCTGAGAATGCTTCTGTCTAGATTTTCTCTGAAGACAATCCCGTTTCCAACGAAATCCTCAAGGCTAGGCAAATATACTCTTGCAGATTCCAGAAAAAGAGTGTTTCAAAACTGCTCCTTCAAAACGGTTGTTCAATTCTCTTAGTTGAGTACACACATCTCAAATAAGTTTCTGAGAATGCTTCTGCCTAGTTGTTACAGGAAGATATTTCCTTTTCCAACATGGGCCTGAAAGCGCTCCAAATGTCCACTTCCAGATACTACAAAAAGAGTGTTTCAAACCTACTCTACCAAAGGGAATGTTCTACTCTGTGACTTGAATGCAAACATCCCAAAGAAGTTTCTGAGAATGCTTCTGTCTAGATTTTACCTGAAGAGAATCCCGTTTCCCACGAAATCCTCAAAGCTATGCAAATATCCGTCTTGCAGATTCTACAAAAAGAGTGTTTCAAAACTGCTCTATGAAAAGAAAGGTTCAACTCTGTCAGTAGAGGGCACACATCACAAACAAGTTTCTGAGAATGCTTGTGTCTAGTTGTTATGGGAAGATATTTCCTTTTTCAACATAGGCTGAAAGCGCTCCAAATGTCCACTTCCAGATACTACAAAAGGAGTGATTCCAACCTGCTCTATGATAGGGAATGTTCAACTCTCTGTCCTGAATACAAACATCACAAAGATGTTTCTCAGAACGCTGCAGTCTGCAATTTGTATGAATTCCCGCTTCCAGCGAAATCCTCAAAACTAGCCAAATATCCACTTGCAGATTCCACAAAAAGAGCATTTCAAAACTGCTCTATCAAAAGAAAGGTTCAACTTTGTTAGTTGAGTAGATACAGCATAAACAAGTTTCTGAGAATGCTTCTGTCCAGTTTTTATGGGAAGATATTTCCTTTTTCACCTTAGCCCTGAAAGCGCTCCAAAAGTCCAGTTCCAGATACTACAAAAGGAGTGTTTCAGGACTGCTCTATGAAAGGGAGTGTTCAACTTTTGACTTGAATGCAAACATCAGAAAGCAGTTTCTCAGAACGCTGCTGTGTGCTTTTTATATGTATTCCCGCTTCCAGCGAAATCCCCAAAGCTAGCCAAATATCCACTTGCAGATTCCAGAAAAAGAGTGTTTCAAAACTGCTCCTTCAAAAGGGTGGTTCAATTCTCTTAGTTGAGTACACACATCTCAAATAAGTTTCTGAGAATGCTTGTGTCTAGTTGTTATGGGAAGATATTTCCTTTTTCAACATAGGCCAGAAAGCGCTCCAAATGTCCACTTCCAGATACTACAAAAGGAGTGATTCCAACCTGCTCTATGATAGGGAATGTTCAACTCTCTGTCCTGAATGCAAACATCACAAAGATGTTTCTCAGAACGCTGCAGTCTGCAATTTGTATGAATTCCCGCTTCCAACGAAATCCTCAAAACTAGCCAAATATCCACTTGCAGATTCCACAAAAAGAGCATTTCAAAACTGCTCTATCAAAAGAAAGGTTCAACTTTGTTAGTTGAGTAGATACAGCATAAACAAGTTTCTGAGAATGCTTCTGTCCAGTTTTTATGGGAAGATATTTCCTTTTTCACCTTAGCCCTGAAAGCGCTCCAAAAGTCCAGTTCCAGATACTACAAAAGGAGTGTTTCAGGACTGCTCTATGAAAGGGAGTGTTCAACTTTTGACTTGAATGCAAACATCAGAAAGCAGTTTACTCAGAACGCTGCTGTGTGCTTTTTATATGTATTCCCGCTTCCAGCGAAATCCCCAAAGCTAGCCAAATATCCACTTGCAGATTCCAGAAAAAGAATGTTTCAAAACTGCTCCTTCAAAACGGTGGTTCAATTCTCTTAGTTGAGTACACACATCTCAAATAAGTTTCTGAGAATGCTTCTGTCCAGTTTTTATGGGAAGATATTTCCTTTTTCACCTTAGCCCTGAAAGCACTCCAAAAGTCCAGTTCCAGATACTACAAAAGGAGTGTTTCAGGACTGCTCTATGAAAGGGAGTGTTCAACTTTTGACTTGAATGCAAACATCAGAAAGCAGTTTCTCAGAACGCTGCAGTCTGCAATTTGTATGAATTCCCGCATCCAACGAAATCCTCAAAACTAGCCAAATGTCCACTTGGAGATTCCACAAAAAGAGCGTTTCAAACCTTCTCTATGAATAGAAAGGTTCTACTCCTTTAGTTGAGGACACACATCACGAGTAAGTTTCTGAGAATGCTTCTGTCTAGTTTTTATGGGAAGATATTTCCTTTTTCACCTTAGGCCGGTAAGTGCTCCAAATGTCCACTTACACACACTACAAAAAGAGTCTTTCAAACCTGCTCTGTGAAAGGGAATGTTCAATTCTGTGACTTGAATGCAATCATCACAAAGAACTTTCTGAGAATGCTTCGCTGTGTGCTTTTTATATGTAATCCCGTTTCCAACGAAATGCTCAAATCTAGCCAAATATCCACTTGCAGATTCCACAAAAAGAGTGTTTCAAAACTGTTCTGTCTAAAGAAATGTTCAACTGTGTTAGTTGAGGACACACATCAGAAACTAGTTTCTGAGAATGCTTCTGTCTAGTTGTTATGGGAAGATATTTCCTTTTCCAACGTAGGCCTGAAAGCGATCCAAATGTCCACTTCCATATACTAAAAAAAGAGTGTTTCAAACCTGCTCTACCAAAGGGAATGTTCTACTCTGTGACTTGAATGCAAACATCCCAAAGAAGTTTCTGAGAATGCTTCTGTCTAGATTTTATCTGAAGACAATCCCGTTTCCAACGAAATCCTCAAGGCTAGGCAAATATCCTCTTGCAGATTCCAGAAAAAGAGGGTTTCAAAACTGCTCCTTCAAAACGGTGGTTCAATTCTCTTAGTTGAGTACACACATCTCAAATAAGTTTCTGAGAATGCTTCTGCCTAGTTGTTACGGGAAGGTATTTCCCTTTCCAAGATAGGCCTGATAGCGCTCCAAATGTCCACTTCCAGATACTACAAAAAGAGTGTTTCAAACCTGCTCTACCAAAGGGAATGTTCTACTCTGTGACTTGAATGCAAACATCCCGAAGAATTTTCTGAGAATGCTTCTGTCTAGATTTTACCTGAAGACAATCCCGTTTCCCACGAAATCCTCAAAGCTATGCAAATATCCTCTTGCAGATTCTACAAAAAGAGTGTTTCGAAAGTGCTCTATGAAAAGAAAGGTTCAACTGTGTCAGTACAGGGCACACATCACAAACAAGTTTCTGAGAATGCTTCTGTCTAGCTGTTATGGGAAGGTATTTCCTTTTTCAACATAGGCCTGAAAGCGCTCCAAATGTCCACTTCCAGATACTACAAAAGGAGTGATTCCAACCTGCTCTATGATAGGGAATGTTCAACTCTGTGTCCTGAATACAAACATCACAAAGATGTTTCTCAGAACGCTGCAGTCTGCAATTTGTATGAATTCCCGCTTCCAACGAAATCCTCAAAACTAGCCAAATATCCACTTGGAGATTCCACAAAAAGAGCGTTTCAAAACTTCTCTATGAATAGAAAGGTTCTACTCCTTTAGTTGAGGACACACATCACGAGTAACTTTCTGAGAATGCTTCTGTCTAGTTTTTATGGGAAGATATTTCCTTTTTCACCTTAGGCCGGAAAGCGCTCCAAATGTCCACTTACACACACTACAAAAAGAGTGTTTCAAACCTGCTCTGTGAAAGGGAATGTTCAATTCTGTGACTTGAATGCAATCATCACAAAGAACTTTCTGAGAATGCTGCTGTCTGCTTTTTATATGTAATCCCGTTTCCAACGAAATCCTCAAATCTAGCCAAATATCCACTTGCAGATTCCACAAAAAGAGTGTTTCAAAACTGTTCTGTCTAAAGAAAAGTTCAACTGTGTTAGTTGAGGACACACATCAGAAACTAGTTTCTGAGAATGCTTCTGTCTAGTTGTTATGGGAAGATATTTCCTTTTCCAACGTAGGCCTGAAAGCGCTCCAAATGTCCACTTCCATATACTAAAAAAAGAGTGTTTCAAACCTGCTCTACCAAAGAGAATGTTCTACTCTGTGACTTGAATGCAAACATCCCAAAGAAGTTTCTGAGAATGCTTCTGTCTAGATTTTATCTGAAGACAATCCCGTTTCCAACGAAATCCTCAAGGCTAGGCAAATATCCTCTTGCAGATGCCAGAAAAAGAGTGTTTCAAAACTGCGCCTTCAAAACGGTGGTTCAATTCTCTTAGTTGAGTACACACATCTCAAATAAGTTTCTGAGAATGCT
>NC_000018.10:15791047-15797755 GCF_000001405.40 Homo sapiens | reverse complement strand
AGACTAGTTTCTGAGAAGGCTTCTGTCTAGTTGTTATGGGAAGATATTTCCTTTTCCAACGTAGGACTGGAAGCGCTCCAAATGTCCACTTCCAGATACTACAAAAAGAGTGTTTCAAACCTGCTCTACCAAAGGGAATGTTCTCCTCTGTGACTTGAATGCAAACATCCCAAAGAAGTTTCTGAGAATGCTTCTGTCTTGATTTTACCTGAAGACAATCCCGTTTCCAACGAAATCCTCAAACTTATGCAAATATCCTCTTGCAGATTCTACACAAAGAGTGTTTCGAAACTGCTCTATGAAAGGAAAGGTTCAACTCTGTCAGTAGAGGGCACACATCACAAACAAGTTTCTGAGAATGCTTCTGTCTAGTTGTTTTGGGAAGATATTTCCTTTTTCAACATAGGCCTGAAAGCGCTCCAAATGGCCACTTCCAGATACTACAAAAGGAGTGATTCCAACCTGCTCTACGATAGGTAATGTTCAACCCTGTGTCCTGAATACAAACATCACAAAGATGTTTCTCAGAACGCTGCAGTCTGCAATTCGTATGAATTCCCGCTTCCAACGAAATCCTCGAAACTAGCCAAATATCCACTTGCAGATTCCAGAAAAAGAGCATTTCAAAACTGCTCTATCAAAAGAAAGGTTCAACTTTGTTAGTTGAGTAGATACAGCATGGACAAGTTTCTGAGAATGCTTCTGTCCAGTTTTTATGGGAAGATATTTCCTTTTTCACCTTAGCCCTGAAAGCGCTCCAAATGTCCACTTCCAGATACTACAAAAGGGGTGTTTCAAGCCTGCTCTATGAACGGGAGTGTTCAACTTTTGACTTGAATGCAAACATCAGAAAGCAGTTTCTCAGAACGCTGCTGTGTGCTTTTTATATGTATTCCCGCTTCCAGCGAAATCCCCAAATCTAGCCAAATATCCACTTGCAGATTCCAGAAAAAGAGTGTTTCAAAACTGCTCCTTCAAAACGGTGGTTCAATTCTGCTAGTTGAGTACACACATCTCAAATAGGTTTCTGAGAATGCTTCTGTGTAGCTGTTATGGGAGGATATTTCCTTTTCCAACATATGCCTGAAAGCGCTCCAAACGTCCACTTCCAGATACGACAAAAGGAGTGATTCCAACCTGCTCTATGATAGGGAATGTTCAACTCTGTGTCCTGAATACAAACATCACAAAGATGTTTCTCAGAACGCTGCAGTCTGCAATTTGTATGAATTCCCGATTCCAACGAAATCCTCAAAACTAGCCAAATATCCACTTGCAGATTCCACAAAAAGAGCGTTTCAAAACTTCTCTATGAAAAGAAAGGTTCTACTCCTTTAGTTGAGGACACACATCACGAGTCAGTTTCTGAGAATGCTTCTGTCTAGTTTTTATGGGAAGATATTTCCTTTTTCACCTGAGTCCGGAAAGCGCTCCAAATGTCCACTTACAGACACTACAAAAGAGTGTTTCAAACCTGCTCTGTGAAAGGGAAATGTCAATCCTGTGACTTGAATGGCACCACCACAAAGAAGTTTCTGAGGATGCTGCTGTCTGCTTTTTATATGTAATCCCGTTTGCAACGAAATCCTCAAATCTAGCCAAATGTCCACTTGCAGATTCCTCAAAAAGAGTGTTTCTAAACTGTTCTGTCAAAAGAAAGGTTCAACTCTGTTAGTTGAGGACACACATCAGAAACTAGTTTCTGAGAAGGCTTCTGTCTAGTTGTTATGGGAAGATATTTCCTTTTCCAACGTAGGCCTGAAAGCCCTCCAAATGTCCACTTCCAGATACTACAAAAAGTGTGTTTCAAACCTGCTCTACCAAAGGGAATGTTCTCCTCTGTTACTTGAATGCAAACATCCCAAAGAAGTTTCTGAGAATGCTTCTGTCTAGATTTACCTGAAGACAATCCCGTTTCCAACGAAATCCTCAAAGCTATGCAAATATCCTCTTGCAGATTCCAGACAAAGAGTGTTTCGAAACTGCTCTATGAAAAGAACGGTTCAACTCTGTCAGTAGAGGGCACACATCACAAACAAGTTTCTGAGAATGCTTCTGTCTAGTTGTTTTGGGAAGATATTTCCTTTTTCAACATAGGCCTGAAAGCGCTCCAAATGTCCACTTCCAGATACTACAAAAGGAGTGATTCCAACCTGCTCTACGATAGGGAATGTTCAAGTCTGTGTCCTGAATACAAATATCACAAAGGTGTTTCTCAGAACGCTGCAGTGTGCAATTCGTATGATTTCCCGCTTCCAACGAAATCCTCAAAACTAGCCAAATATCCACTTGCAGATTCCAGAAAAAGAGCATTTCTAAACTGCTCTATCAAAGGAAAGGTTCAACTTTGTTAGTTGAGTAGATACAGCATGGACAAGTTTCTGAGAATGCTTCTGTCCAGTTTTTATGGGAAGATATTTCCTTTTTCACCTTAGCCCTGAAAGCGCTCCAAATGTCCACTTCCAGATACTACAAAAGGGGTGTTTCAGGCCTGCTCTATGAAAGGGAGTGTTCAACTTTTGACTTGAATGCAAACATCAGAAAGCAGTTTCTCAGAACGCTGCTGTGTGCTTTTTATATGTATTCCCGCTTCCAGCGATATCCCCAAAGCTAGCCAAATATCCACTTGCAGATTCCAGAAAAAGAGTATTTCAAAACTGCTCCTTCAAAACGGTGGTTCAATTCTCCTAGTTGAGTACACACATCTCCAATAGGTTTCTGAGAATGCTTCTGTCTAGCTGTTATGGGAGGATATTTCCTTTTCCAACATAGGCCTGAAAATGCTCCAAACGTCCACTTCCAGATACGACAAAAGGAGTGATTCCAACCTGCTCTATGATAGGGAATATTCAACTCTGTGTCCTGAATACAAACATCACAAAGATGTTTCTCAGAACGCTACAGTCTGCAATTTGTATTAATTCCCGCTTCCAACGAAATCCTCAAAACTAGCCAAATATCCACTTGCAGATTCCACAAAAAGAGCGTTTCAAAACTTCTCTATGAAAAGAAAGGTTCTACTCCTTTAGTTGAGGACACACATCACGAGTAAGTTTCTGAGAATGCTGCTGTCTGCTTTTTATATGTAATCCCGTTTCCAACGAAATCCTCAAATATAGCCAAATATCCACTTGCAGATTCCACAAAAAGAGTGTTTCAAAACTGTTCTGTCAAAAGAAATGTTCATCTCTGTTAGTTGAGGACACACATCAGAAACTAGTTTCTGAGAATGCTTCTGTCTAGTTGTTATGGGAAGATATTTCCTTTTCCAACGTAGGCCTGAAAGCGCTCCAAATGTCCACTTCCAGATACTACAAAAAGAGTGCTTCAAACCTGCTCTACCAAAGGGAATGTTCTACTCTGTGACTTGAATGCAAACATCCCAAAGAAGATTCTTAGAATGCTTCTGTCTAGATTTGATCTGAAGACAATCCCGTTTCCAACGAAATCCTCAAAGCTATGCAAATATCCTCTTGCAGATTCCACACAAAGAGTGTTTCGAAACTGCTCTCTCAAAAGAAATGTTCAACTCTGTCAGTTGAGGACACACATCACAAATAAGTTTCTGAGAATGCTTCTGTCTAGTTTTTATGGGAAGATATTTCCTTTTTCAACACAAGCCTGAATGCGCTCCAAATGGACACTTCCAGATATGACAAAAGGAGTGTTTCAAACCTGTTCTATCAAAGGGAATGTTCAATTCTGTGACTTGATTGCAAACGTCACCAAGAGGTTTCTCAGAACGCTGCTGTCTGCTTTTTATATGTATTCCCGTTTACAACGAAATCCTCAAATCCAGCCAAATATCCACTTGCAGATTCCACAAAAAGAGTGTTTCAAAACTGCTCTCTCAAAAGAAATGTTCAACTCTGTCAGTTGAGGACACACATCACAAATACGTTTCTGAGAATGCTTCTGTCTAGTTTTTATGGGAAGATATTTCCTTTTTCACCATAGGCCTCAAAGCGCTCCAAATGTCCCCTTCCAGGTAATGGAAAAAGAGTGTTTCAAACCTGCTCTATGAAAGCGAATGTTCAACTCTGTGACTTGAATGCAACCATCACAAGGAAGTTTCTGAGAATGCTTCTGTCTAGATTTTATATGAAGATATTCCCGTTTCCAACGAAATCCACAAAGCTATCGAAATATCCACTTGCAGATTCTACAGAAAGAGTGTTTCGAAACTGCTCTATGAAAAGAAAGGTTCAACTCTGTCAGTAGAGGGTACACATCACAAAGAAGTTTCTGAGAATTCTTCTGTCTAGTTGTTATGGGAAGATATTTCCTTTTTCAACATAGGCCTGAAAGCGCTCCAAATGTCCACTTCCAGATACTACAAAAGGAGTGAATCAAAAATGCTCTATGATAGGGAATGTTCAACTCTGTGTCCTGAATACAAACATCACAAAATGTTTCTCAGAACGCTGCAGTCTGCAATTTGTATGAATTACCGCTTCCAACGAAATCCTCAAAACTAGCCAAATATCCACTTGCAGATTCCACAAAAAGAGCGTTTCAAAACTTCTCTATGAAAAGAAAGGTTCTACTCCTTTAGTTGAGGACACACATCACGAGTAAGTTTCTGAGAATGCTTCTGTCTAGTTTTTATGGGAAGATATTTCCTTTTTCACCTTAGGCCGGAAAGCGCTCCAAATGTCCACTTACAGACACTACAAAAAGAGTGTTTCAAACCTGCTCTGTGAAAGGGAATGTTCAATTCTGTGACTTGAATGCAATCATCACAAACAAGTTTCTGAGAATGCTGCTGTCTGCTTTTTATATGTAATCCCGTTTCCAACGAAATCCTCAAATCTAGCCAAATATCCACTTGCAGATTCCAAAAAAAAAGTGTTTCAAAACTGTTCTGTCAAAAGAAATGTTCAACTCTGTTAGTTGAGGACACACATCAGAAACTAGTTTCTGAGAATGCTTCTGTCTAGTTGTTATGGGAAGATATTTCCTTTTCCAACGTAGGCCTGAAAGCGCTTCAAATGTCCACTACCATATACTAAAAAAAGAGTGTTTCAAACCTGCTCTACCAAAGGGAATGTTCTACTCTGTGACTTGAATGCAAACATCCCAAAGAAGATTCTTAGAATGCTTCTGTCTAGATTTTATCTGAAGACAATCCCGTTTCCAACGAAATCCTGAAAGCTATGCAAATATCCTCTTGCAGATTCTACAAAAAGAGTGTTTCAAAACTGCTCTATGAAAAGAAAGGTTCAACTCTGTCAGTAGAGGGCACACATCTCAAACAAGTTTCTGAGAATGCTTCTGTCTAGTTGTTTTGGGAAGATATTTCCTTTTTCAACCTAGGCCTGAAAGAGCTCCAAATTTCCACTTCCAGATACTACAAAGGAGTGATTCCAACCTGCTCTATGATAGGGAATGTTCAACTCTGTGTCCTGAATACGAACATCACAAAGATGTTTCTCAGAACGCTGCAGTCTGCAATTTGTATGAATTCCCGCTTCCAACGGAATCCTCAAAACTAGCCAAATATCCACTTGCAGATTCCACAAAAAGAGCATTTCAAAACTGATCTATGAAAAGAAAGGTTCAACTTTGTTAGTTGAGTAGATACAGCATAAACAAGTTTCTGAGAATGCTTCTGTCTAGTTTTTGTGGGAAGATATTTCCTTTTTCACCTTAGCCCTGAAAGCGCCCCAAATGTCCACTTCCAGATAGTACAAAAGGGGTGTTTCAAGCCTGCTCTATGAAAGGGAGTGTTCAACTTTTGACTTGAATGCAAGCAGCAGAAAGCCGTTTCTCAGAACGCTGCTGTGTGCTTTTTATATGTATTCCCTCTTCCAGCGAAATCCGCAAAGCTAGCCAAATATCCTCTTGCAGATTCCAGAAAAAGAGTGTTTCAAATCTGCTCCTTCAAAACGGTGGTTCAATTCTCTTAGTTGAGTACACACATCTCAAATAAGTTTCTGAGAATGCTTCTGTCTAGTTTTTATGGGAAGATATTTCCTTTTTCAACACAAGCCTGAATGCGCTCCAAATGGACACTTCCAGATATGACAAAAGGAGTGCTTCAAACCTGTTCTATCAAAGGGAATGTTCAATTCTGTGACTTGATTGCAAACATCACCAAGAAGTTTCTCAGAACGCTGCTGTCTGCTTTTTATATGTATTCGCGTTTCCAACGAAATCCTCAAAGCCAGCCAAATATCCACTTGCAGATTCCACAAAAAGAGTGTTTCAAAACTGCTCTCTCAAAAGTAATGTTCAACTCTGTCAGTTGAGGACACACATCACAAATAAGTTTCTGAGAATGCTTCTGTCTAGTTTTTTTGGGAAGATATTTCCTTTTTCACCATAGGCCTCAAAGCGCTCCAAATGTCCACTTCCAGGTAATGGAAAAAGAGTGCTTCAAACCTGCTCTATGAAAGCGAATGTTCAACTCTGTGACTTGAATGCAACCATCACAAGGAAGTTTCTGAGAATGCTTCTGTCTAGATTTTATATGAAGATATTCCCGTTTCCAACGAAATCCACAAAGCTATCGAAATATCCACTTGCAGATTCTACAAAAAGAGTGTTTCAAAACTGCTCTATGAAAAGAAAGGTTCTACTCCTTTAGCTGAGGACACATATCACGAGTAAGTTTCTGAGAATGCTTCTGTCTAGTTTTTATGGGAAGATATTTCCTTTTCCAACGTAGGCCTGAAAGCGCTCCAAATGTCCACTTCCATAAACTAA
>NC_000018.10:15780477-15788380 GCF_000001405.40 Homo sapiens | reverse complement strand
TAAGTTTCTGAGAATGCTTCTGTCTAGTTTTTATGGGAGATATTTCCTTTTTCACCCATAGGCCTGAAAGCGCTCGAAATGTCCACTTCCAGATACTACAGAAAGAGTGTTTCAAACCTGCTCTATGAAAGGGAATGTTCAACTCTGTGACTTAAAAGCAAACATCACAGAGAAGCTTCTGAGAATGCTACTGTCTACTTTGTATGTGTAATCCCGTTTGCAACGAAATCCTGAAAGCTATCCAAATATCCACCTGCAGATTCTAAGAAAAGAAGGTTTCAAACCTGCTCTAAGAAAGGGAATATTCAACTCTGTGACTTGAATGCAGATATCACAAAGTAGTTCCTGAGAGTGCTTCTGTCTAGATTTTATATGAAGATATTCCCGTTTCCAACGAAATACTTCGAGCTATCCAAATATCCCCTTGCATATTCTACAAAAAGAGTATTTCCAAACTTCTGTATCATAAGAGAGGTTGAACTCTGTTAGTTGAGGACACACATCACAAAGAAGTTTCTGAGAATGCTTCTGTCTGGTTTTTATGGGAAGATATTTCCTTTTTCACCAAAGGCGTCAAAGCGCTCCAAATGTCCACTTCCAGATAATACAAAGGAGTGTTTCAAACCTGCTCTAATAAAGGGAATGTTCAACTCTGTGACTTGAATGCACATATCACAAAGCAGTTTCTGAGAGTGCCTCTGTCTAGGTTTTATATTAAAGTATTCCCGTTTCCAACGAAATCGTTAGAGCTATCGAAATATCCACTTGCAGATTTTACAGAAAGAGTTTTTCTATACTGCTGTATCAAAAGACAGGTTATACTCTGTTGGATGAGGGCATACATCCCAAACCAGTTTGTGAGAATGGTTCTGTCAAGTTTTTATGGGAAGATATTTCCTTGATCACCATAGGCCTGAAAGCGCTCGAAATGTCCTCTTCCAGATACTATAGAAAGAGTGTTTGAAACCTGCTCCATGAAAGGGAATGTTCAACTCTGTGACTAAAAGCAAACATCACAAAGCAGCTTCTGAGAATGCTGCTGTCTACTTTGTATATGTAATCCGGTTTCCAACGAAATCCTCAAAGCTATCCAAATATCCTCCTGCAGATTCCACGAAAAGACGGGTTCAAACCTGCTCTAAGAAAGGGAATATTCAACTCTGTGACTTGAATACAGATATCACAAATTAGTTTCTGAGAGTGCTTCTGTCTAGAGTTTATATGAAGATATTCCCCTTTCCAACGAAATAGCTTGAGCTATCCAACTATCCACTTGCAGATTCTACAGAAAGAGTGTTTCCAAACTGCTGTATCTAAAGACAGGTTGTACTGTGTTACGTGAGGACACACATCACAAAGAAGTTTCTGAGAATGCCTCTTTCTAGATTTTACCTGGAGATATTCCGGTTTCCAATGAAATCCTTAAAGCTTTCCAAATATCGACTTGCAGATTCTCCAACTGAGTCTTTCAAAATTGCTCTGTAAATAGAAAGGTTCAACTCTGTTAGTTGAGGACATACATCACCAACCAGTTTGTGAGAATGCTTCTGTCTAGTTTTTATGGGAAGATATTTCCTTTTGCACCGTAAGCGTCAAAGCGCTCCAAGTGTCCACATCCAGATACTGCAGAAAGAGTGTTTCACACCTGCTCTATGAAAGCGAATGTTCAACTCTGTGATGTGAATGCAGATATCACAAAGTAGTTTCTGAGAATGCTTCTGTGGAGATTTTATATGAAGATATTCCCGTTTCCAACGAGATAGTTAGAGCTATCCATGTATCCAGTTGCAAATTCTATAAAAAGTGTGTTTTCAAGCTGCTGTATCATAAGAAAAGTTGAACTCTGTTAGTTGAGGACCCACATCACAAAGAAGTTTCTGAGAATGCTTCTGTCTAGTTTTTATGGGAAGATATTTCCTTTTTCCACATAGGCCTGAAATCGCCCGAAATGTCCACTTCCAGATACTACAGAAAGAGTGTTTCAAACCTGCTCTATGGAAGGGAATATTCAACTCTGTGACTTAAAAGCAAACATCACAAAGAATCTCCTGAGAATGCTGCTGTCTACTTTTTATATGTAATCCCGTCTCCAACGAAATCCTCAGAGCTATCCTAATAACCATTTGCAGATTCCACACAAAGAGCTTTTCAAAACTGATCTATAAAGAGAAAGGTTCAACTCTGTTAGTTGAGTACATATATCCCAAAGAAGTTTCTTAGAATGCTTCGGTCTAGTTTTGATGTGAAGACATTTCCTTTTTCACCAAAGGCGTCAAAGTGCTCCAAATGTCCACTTCCAGATACTACCAAAAGAGTGTTTTAAACCTGCTTTAAGAAAGGAAATGTTGAACTCTGTGACTTGAATGCAGATATCACAAAGCAGTTTCTGAGAGTGCCACTGTCTAGATTTTATATGAAGGTGTTCCCGTTTCCCACGAAATCGTTAGAGCTATCCAAATATCCACTTGCAGATTCTGTAAAAAGAGTGTTTCCAAACTGCTGTATCAAAAGACAGGTTGTACTCTGGTCGGTGAGTACACACATCACAAAGAAATTTCTGAGAATGCCTCTGTCTAGTTTTTACCTGAAGATATTCCGGTTCCCAATAAAATCCTTAAAGCTCTTCAATAAAAGCTCTCCGAATATCCACTTGCAGATTCTCCACATAGAGTCTTTCAAAACTGCTCTGTAAATTGAAATGTTCAACTCTGTTAGTTGAGGACATACATCACAAACCAGTTTGTGAGAATGCTTCTGTCTAGTTTTTATGGGAAGATATTTCCTTTTTCACCGTAAGCGTCCAAGCGCTCCAAGTGTCCAGATCCAGATACTACAGAAAGAGTGTTTCAAACCTGCTCTATGAAAAGGAATGTTCAACTCTGTGACGTGAATGCAGATATCACAAAGCAGTTTCTGAGAATGATTCTGTCTAGGTTGTATATGAAGATACTCCCGTTTCCAACGAAATCCACAAAGCTATCCAAATATCCACTTGCAGATTCTACAAAAAGCATGTTCCAAACTGCTCTGTCCAACGAAATGTTCAACTCTGTGAGTTGAGGACACACATCACAAACAGGTTACTGCGAAAGCTTCTGTCTAGTTTTCATGGGAAGATATTTCCTTGTTCACCATAGGCCTGAAAGCCCTCGAAATGTCCACTTCCAGATACTACAGAAAGAGTGTTTGAAACCTGCTCTATGAAAGGGAATGTTCAACTCTGTTACTTAAAAGCAAACATCACAAAGAAGCTTTTGAGAATGCTGCTGTCTACTTTGTGTATGTAATCCCGATTCCAAAGAAATCCTCAAAGCTATCTAAATATCCTCCTGCAGATTCCACAGAAAGTCGGTTTCAAACCTGCTCTTAGAAAGGGAATATTCAACTCTGTGATATGAATGCAGATATCACAAAGTAGTTTCTGAGAGTGCTTCTGTGGAGATTTTATATGAAGATATTCCCGTTTCCAATGAAATAGTTAGAGCTATTCATATATCCAGTTGCAAATTGTATAAAAAGTGTGTTTCCAAGCTGCTGTATCATAAGAAAGGTTGAACTCTGTTAGTTGAGGACCCACATCACAAAGAAGTTTCTGAGAATGGTTCTGTCTAGTTTTTATGGGAAGATATTTCCTTTTTCCACATAGGCCTGAAATCGCCCGAAATGTCCACTTCCAGATACGACAGAAAGAGTTTTTCAAACCTGCTGTATGGAAGGGAATATTCAACTCTGTGACTTAAAAGCAAACATCACAAAGAAGCTCCTGAGAATGCTGCTGTCTACTTTTTATATATAATCCCGTCTCCAACGAAATCCTCAGAGCTATCCTAATATCCATTTGCAGATTCCACACAAAGAGCTTTTCAAAACTGATCTCTAAAGAGAAAGGTTCAACTCTGTGAGTTGAGTACATATATCCCAAAGAAGTTTCTTAGAATGCTTCGGTCTAGTTTTGATGTGAAGACATTTCCTTTTTCACCAAAGGCGTCAAAGTTCTCCAAATGTCCACTTCCAGATACTACCAAAAGAGTGTTTTAAACCTGCTTTATGAAAGGAAATGTTGAACTCTGTGACTTGAAAGCAGATATCACAAAGCAGTTTCTGAGAGTGCCACTGTCTAGATTTCATATGAAGGTATTCCCGTTTCCAACGAAATCGTTAGAGCTATCCAAATTTCCACTTGCAGATTCTGGAAAAAGAGTGTTTCCAAACTGCTGTATCAAAAGACAGGTTGTACTCTGTTAGTTGAGGACACACATCACAAAGAATTTTCTGAGAATGCCTCTGTCTACTTTTTACCTGAGGATATTCTGCTTCCCAATGAAATCCTTAAAGCTTTTCAATTACAGCTCTCCAAATATCCACTTGCAGATTCTCCAAAAAGAGACTTTCAAAACTGTTCTGTAAATTGAAATGTTCAACTCTGTTAGTTGAGGACAAACATCACAAACCAGTTTGTGTGAATGCTTCTGTCTTGTTTTTATGGGAAGATATTTCCTTTTTCACCGTAAGCGTCCACGCGCTCCAAGTGTCCAGATCCAGATACTACAGAAATAGTGTTTCAAACCTGCTCTATGAAAGGGAATGTTCAACTCTGTGACTTGAATGCAGATATCACAAAGCAGTTTCGGAGAGTGCCACTGTCTAGATTTTATGTGAAGGTATTCCCGTTTCCAACGAAATCCATAAAGCTATCCAAATAGCCACTTGCAGATTCTACAAAAAGCGTGTTTCGAAACTGCTCTGTCCAATGAAATGTTCAACTCTGTGAGTTGAGGATACACATCACAAACAAGTTTCTGCGAAAGCTTCTGTCTAGTTTGCATGGGAAGGTATTTACTTTTTCAACATAGGCATGAAATCAGTCGAAATGTCCCCTTCCACATGCTACAGAAAGTGTGTTTCAAACCTGCTCTATGAAAGGGAATATTCCACTCAGTGACTTAAAAGCAAATATCACAAAGAAGCTCCTGAGAATGCTGATGTCTACTTTTTATATTTATTCCCGTCTCCCATGAAATCCTCAGAGCTATCCTAATATCCATTTGCAGATTCCACAAAAGGAGCTTTTCAAAACTGATCTATAAAGAGAAAGGTTCAACTCTGTGAGTTGAGTACATATATCCCAAAGAAGTTTCTTAGAATGCTTCTGTCTAGTTTTGATGGGAAGACATTTCCTTTTTCACCAAAGGCGTCAAAGCGCTCCAAATTTCCACTTCCAGATACTACCAAAAGAGTGTTTCAAACCTGCTCTAAGAAAGGGAATGTTCAACTCTGTGACTTGAATGTAGATATCACAAAGCAGTTTCTGAGAGTGCCGCTGTCTAGATTTTATATGAAGGTATTCCCGTTTCCAACGAAAACGTTAGAGATATCCAAATATCCTCTTGCAGATTCTACAAAAAGAGTGTTATGAAACTCCTGTATCAAAAGACAGGTTGTACTTTGATAGTTGAGGACACACATCACAAACAGGTTTCTGAGAATGCCTCTGTCTAGATTTTACCTGAAGATATTCCGGTTTCCAATGAAATCCTTAAAGCTCTCCAAATATCCACTTGCAGATTCTCCAAAAAGAGTCTTTCAAAACTGCTCTGTAAATAGAAATATTCAACTCTGTTATTTGAGGACATACATCACAAACCAGTTTGTGAGAATGCTTCTGTCTAGTTTTTATGTGAAGATATTTCGTTTTCCACCGTAAGCGTCCAAGCGCTCCAAGTGTCCACATCCAGATACTACAGAAAGATTGTTTCATACCTGCTCTATGAAAGGGAATGTTCAACTCTGTGACGTGAATGCAGATATCACCAAGCAGTTTCTGATAATGTTTCTGTCTATGTTTTCTATGAAGATACTCCCCTTTCCAACGAAATCCACAAAGCTATCCAAATATCCAATTGCAGATTCTACAAAAAGCGTGTTTCCAAACTGCTCTGTCCAAAGAAATGTTCAACTCTGTGAGTTGAGGACGCACATCACAAACACGTTTCTGCGAATGCTTCTGTCTAGGTTTCATGGGAAGATATTTCCTTGTTCTCCATGGGCCTGAAAGC
The DNA here is from genome assembly GCF_000001405.40 of Homo sapiens. NCBI lineage: Eukaryota > Metazoa > Chordata > Mammalia > Primates > Hominidae > Homo > Homo sapiens. Next base: position 15,782,324 of record NC_000018.10, on the reverse strand, counting down.
GCTCGAAATGTCCACTTCCAGATACTACAGAAAGAGTGTTTGAAACCTGCTCTACGAAAGGGAATGTTCAACTGTGTGACTTAAAATCAAACATCACAAAGAAGCTTCTGAGAATGCTGCTGTCTACTTTGTATATGTAATCCCGTTTCCAACGAAATCCTCAAAGCTATCCAAATATCCTCCTGCAGATTCCACAGAAAGACGGTTTCAAACCCGCTCTTAGAAAGGGAATATTCAACTCTGTGATATGAATGCAGATATCACAAATTAGTTTCTGAGAGTGCTTCTGTCTATATTTTATATGAAGATATTCCCCTTTCCAAAGAAATAGTTAGAGCTATCCATATATCCAGTTGCAAATTGTATAAAAAGAGTGTTTCCAAGCTGCTGTATCATAAGAAAGGTTGAACTCTGTTAGTTGAGGACCCACATCACAAAGAAATTTCTGTGAATGCTTCTGTCTAGTTTTTTTTTTTTTTTTTTTTATTATTATACTCTAAGTTTTAGGGTACATGTGCACATTGTGCAGGTTAGTTACATATGTATACATGTGCCATGGTGGTGCACTGCACCCACTAATGTGTCATCTAGCATTAGGTATATCTCCCAATGCTATCCCTCCCCCCCTCCCCCGACCCCACCACAGTCCCCAGAGTGTGATATTCCCCTTCCTGTGTCCATGTGATCTCATTGTTCAATTCCCACCTATGAGTGAGAATATGCAGTGCTTGGTTTTTTGTTCTTGCGATAGTTTACTGAGAATGATGGTTTCCAATTTCATTCATGTCCCTACAAAGGATATGAACTCATCATTTTTTATGGCTGCATAGTATTTCATGGTGTATATGTGCCACATTTTCTTAATCCAGTCTATCATTGCTGGACATTTGGGTTGGTTCCAAGTCTTTGCTATTGTGAATAGTGCCGCAATAAACATACGTGTGCATGTGTCTTTATAGTAGCATGATTTATACTCATTTGTGTATATACCCAGTAATGGGATGGCTGGGTCAAATGGTATTTCTAGTTCTAGATCCCTGAGGAATCGCCACACTGACTTCCACAATGGTTGAACTAGTTTACAGTCCCACCAACAGTGTCAAAGTGTTCCTATTTCTCCGCCTCCTCTCCAGCACCTGTTGTTTCCTGACTTTTTAATGATTGCCATTCTAACTGGTGTGAGATGATATCTCATAGTGGTTTTGATTTGCATTTCTCTGATGGCCAGTGATGATGAGCATTTCTTCATGTGTTTTTTGGCTGCATAAATGTCTTCTTTTGAGAAGTGTCTGTTCATGTCCTTCGCCCACTTTTTGATGGGGTTGTTTGTTTTTTTCTTGTAAATTTGTTTGAGTTCATTGTAGATTCTGGATATTAGCCCTTTGTCAGATGAGTAGGTTGTGAAAATTTTCTCCCATGTTGTAGGTTGCCTGTTCACTCTGCTGGTAGTTTCTTTTGCTGTGCAGAAGCTCTTTAGTTTAATTAGATCCCATTTGTCAATTTTGTCTTTTGTTGCCATTGCTTTTGGTGTTTTGGACATGAAGTCCTTGCCCACGCCTATGTCCTGAATGGTAATGCCTAGGTTTTCTTCTAGGGTTTTTATTGTTTTAGGTTTAACGTTTAAATCTTTAATCCATCTTGAATTGATTTTTGTATAAGGTGTAAGGAAGGGATCCAGTTTCAGCTTTCTACATATGGCTAGCCAGTTTTCCCAGCACCATTTATTAAATAGGGAATCCTTTCCCCATTGCTTGTTTTTCTCAGGTTTGTCAAAGATCAGATAGTTGTAGATATGCGGCATTATTTCTGAGGGCTCTGTTCTGTTCCATTGATCTATATCTCTGTTT
>NC_000018.10:15460899-15535258 GCF_000001405.40 Homo sapiens | reverse complement strand
GCAGCATTCTCAGGAGCTTCTTTGTGATGTTTCCTTTTAAGTCACAGAGTTGAATATTCCCTTCCATAGGCAGGTTTGAAACTCTCTTTCTGTAGTATTTGGAAGAGGACATTTCGAGCGATTTCAGGCCTATGTGGAAAAAGGAAATATCTTCCCATAAAAACTAGACTGTCCTCAATAAAATGCTGGCAAACCGAATCCAGCAGCACATCAAAAAACTTATCCACCATGATCAAGTGGGCTTCATCCCTGGGATGCAAGGCTGGTTCAATATACGCAAATCAATAAATGTAATCCAGTATATAAACAGAGCCAAAGACAAAAACCACATGATTATCTCAATAGATGCAGAAAAAGCCTTGACAAGCTGTCTACTTTCTTTATGTATTCCCGTCTCCAACGAAATCCTCAGAGCTATCCGAATATCCATCTGCAGATTCCACATAAAGAGCTTTCCAAAACTGATCTATAAAGAGAAAGGTTCAACTCTGTTAGTTGAGTACATATATCCCAAAAATGTTTCTTAGAATGCTTCTGTCTAGTTTTGATGGGAAGACATTTCCTTTTTCACCAAAGGCGTCAAAGTGCTCCAAATGTCCACTTCCAGATACGACAGAAAGAGTGTTTCAAACCTGCTTTAGGAAGGGAGATGTTCAACTCTGTGGCTTGAATGCAGATATCACAAAGCAGTTTCTGAGAGTGCCACTGTCTAGATTTTATATGAAGGTATTCCCGTTTCCAACGAAATCGTTAGAGCTATCCAAATATCCACTTGCAGATTCTATAAAAAGAGTGTTTCCAACGTGCTGTATCAAAAGATAGGTTGTACACTGTTAGTTGAGGACACACATTACAAAGAAGTTTCTGAGAATGCCTCTGTCTAGATTTTACCTGAAGATATTCCGGTTTCCGGTGAAATCCTTAAAGCTCTCCACATATCCACTAGCAGATACTCCAAAAGAGTCTTTCAAAACTGCTCTGTGAATAGAAATGCTCAACTCTGTTAGCTGACGACATACGTCACAAAGCAGTTTGTGAGAATGCTTCTGTCTAGGTTTTATGGGACGATATTTCCTTTTTCACCATAAGCGTCCAAGAGCTCCAAGTGCCCACATCCAGATACTACAGAAAGGGTGTTTCAAACCTGCTCTATGAAAGGGAATGTTCAACTCTGTGACGTGAATGCGGATATCACAAAGCCGTTTCTGAGAATGTTACTGTCTAGGTTTTCTATGAAGATACTCCCGTTTCCAACGAAATCCACAAAGCCATCCAAATATCCACTTGCAGATTCTACAAAAATCGTGTTTCCAAACTGCTCTGTCAAACCAAATGTTCAACTCTGTGAGTTGAGGACACACATCACAAACAAGTTTCTGCGAATGCTTCTGTCTAGTTTGCATGGGAAGATATTTCCTTGTTCACCATGGGCCTGAAAGCGCTCGAAATGTCCACTTCCAGATACTGCAGAAAGAGGGTTTGAAACCTGCTCTATGAAAGGGAACGTTCAACTCTGTGACTTAAACGCAAACATCATAAAGAAGCTTCTGAGAATGCTGCTGTCTACTTTGTATATGTAATCCCGTTTCCAACGTAACCCTCAAAGCTATCCAAATATCCTCCTGCAGATTCCACAAAAAGACGCTTTCAAGCCTGCCCTTAGAAAGGGAATATTCAACTCTCTGATATCAATGCAGATATCACAAAGTAGTTTCTGAGAGTGCTTCTGCCTAGGTTTTATATGAAGATATTCCCGTTTCCAACGAAATAGTTAGGGCTATCCATGTATCAACTTGCAAATTCTATAAAAAGAGTGTTTCCAAACTGCTGTATCATAAGAAAGGTTGAACTCTGTTAGTTGAGGACACACATCACAAAGACGTTTCTGAGAATGCTTCTGTCTAGTTTTTATGTTAAGGTATTTCCTTTTTCAACATAGGCCTGAAATCGATCGAAATGTCCACTTCCAGATACTACAGAAAGAGTGTTTCAAGCCTGCTCTATTGAAGGGAATATTCAACTCTGTGACTTAAAAGCAAACATCACAAAGAATCTCCTGAGAATGCTGCTGTCTACTTTCTTTATGTATTCCCGTTTCCAACGAAATCCTCAGAGCTATCCGAATATCCATCTGCAGATTCCACATAAAGAGCTTTCCAAAACTGATCTATAAAGAGAAAGGTTCAACTCTGTTAGTTGAGTACATATATCCCAAAAATGTTTCTTAGAATGATTCTGTCTAGTTTTCATGGGAAGACATTTCCTTTTTCACCAAAGGCGTCAAAGTGCTCCAAATGTCCACTTCCAGATACGACAGAAAGAGTGTTTCAAACCTGCTTTAGGAAGGGAAATGTTCAACTCTGTGGCTTGAATGCAGATATCACAAAACAGTTTCTGAGAGTGCCACTGTCTAGATTTTATATGAAGGTATTCCCGTTTCCAACGAAATCGTTAGAGCTATCCAACTATCCACTTGCAGATTCTATAAAAAGAGTGTTTCCAACGTGCTGTATCAAAAGATAGGTTGTACACTGTTAGTTGAGGACACACATTACGAAGAAGTTTCTGAGAATGCCTCTGTCTAGATTTTACCTGAAGATATTCCGGTTTCCAATGAAATCCTTAAAGCTCTCCAAATATCCACTAGCAGATACTCCAAAAGAGTCTTTCAAAACTGCTCTGTGAATAGAAATGTTCAACTCTGTTAGTTGAAGACATACGTCACAAAGCAGTTTGTGAGAATGCTTCTGTCCAGTTTTTATGGGACGATATGTCCTTTTTCACCATAAGCGTCCAAGCGCTCCAAGTGCCCACATCCAGATACTACAGAAAGTGTGTTTCAAACCTGCTCTATGAAAGGGAATGTTCAACTCTGTGACGTGAATGCAGATATCACAAAGCAGTTTCTGAGCATGTTACTGTCTAGGTTGTCTATGAAGATACTCCCGTTTCCAACGAAATCCACAAAGCCATCCAAATATCCACTTGAAGATTCTACAAAAATCGTGTTTCCGAACTGCTCTGTCAAAGGAAATGTTCAACTCCGTGAGTTGAGGACACACATCACAAACAAGTTTCTGCGAATGCTTCTGTCTAGTTTGCATGGGAAGATATTTCCTTGTTCACCATGGGCCTGAAAGCGCTCGAAATGTCCACTTCCAGATACTGCAGAAAGAGGGTTTGAAACCTGCTCTATTAAAGGGAACGTTCAACTCTGTGACTTAAACGCAAACATCATAAAGAAGCTTCTGAGAATGCTGCTGTCTACTTTGTATATGTAATCCCGTTTCCAACGTAACCCTCCAAGCTATCCAAATATCCTCCTGCAGATTCCACAAAAAAGACGCTTTCAAGCCTGCCCTTAGAAAGGGAATATTCAACTCTCTGATATCAATGCAGATATCACAAAGTAGTTTCTGAGAGTGCTTCTGTCTAGGTTTTATATGAAGATATTCCCGTTTCCAACGAAATAGTTAGGGCTATCCATATATCAACATGCAAATTCTATAAAAAGAGTGTTTCCAAACTGCTGTATCATAAGAAAGGTTGAACTCTGTTAGTTGAGGACACACATCACAAAGACGTTTCTGAGAATGCTTCTGTCTAGTTTTTATGTTGAGATATTTCCTTTTTCAACATAGGCCTGAAATCGATCGAAATGGCCACTTCCAGATACTACAGAAAGAGTGTTTCAAACCTGCTCTATTGAAGGGAATATTCAACTCTGTGACTTCAAAGCAAACATCACAAAGAATCTCCCGAGAATGCTGCTGTCTACTTTCTTTATGTATTCCCGTCTCCAACGAAATCCTCAGAGCTATCCGAATATCCATCTGCAGATTCCACATAAAGAGCTTTCCAAAACTGTTCTATAAAGAGAAAGGTTCAACTCTGTTAGTTGTGTACATATATCCCAAAAATGTTTCTTAGAATGCTTCTGTCTGGTTTTGATGGGAAGACATTTCCTTTTTCACCAAAGGCGTCAAAGTGCTCCAAATGTCCACTTCCAGATACGACAGAAAGAGTGTTTCAAACCTGCTTTAGGAAGGGAGATGTTCAACTCTGTGGCTTGAATGCAGATATCACAAAGCAGTTTCTGAGAGTGCCACTGTCTAGATTTTATATGAAGGTATTCCCGTTTCCAACGAAATCGTTAGAGCTATCCAAATATCCACTTGCAGATTCTATAAAAAGAGTGTTTCCAACGTGCTGTATCAAAAGATAGGTTGTACACTGTTAGTTGAGGACACACATTACAAAGAAGTTTCTGAGAATGCCTCTGTCTAGATTTTACCTGAAGATATTCCGGTTTCCAGTGAAATCCTTAAAGCTCTCCACATATCCACTAGCAGATACTCCAAAAGAGTCTTTCAAAACTGCTCTGTGAATAGAAATTCTCAACTCTGTTAGCTGACGACATACGTCACAAAGCAGTTTGTGAGAATGCTTCTGTCTAGGTTTTATGGGACGATATTTCCTTTTTCACCATAAGCGTCCAAGAGCTCCAAGTGCCCACATCCAGATACTTCAGAAAGGGTGTTTCAAACCTGCTCTATGAAAGGGAATGTTCAACTCTGTGACGTGAATGCGGATATCACAAAGCCGTTTCTGAGAATGTTACTGTCTAGGTTTTCTATGAAGATACTCCCGTTTCCAACGAAATCCACAAAGCCATCCAAATATCCACTTGCAGATTCTACAAAAATCGTGTTTCCAAACTGCTCTGTCAAACGAAATGTTCAACTCTGTGAGTTGAGGACACACATCACAAACAAGTTTCTGCGAATGCTTCTGTCTAGTTTGCATGGGAAGATATTTCCTTGTTCACCACGGACCTGAAAGCGCTCGAAATGTCCACTTCCAGATTCTGCAGAAAGAGGGTTTGAAACCTGCTCTATGAAAGGGAACGTTCAACTCTGTGACTTAAACGCAAACATCATAAAGAAGCTTCTGAGAATGCTGCTGTCTACTTTGTATATGTAATCCCGTTTCCAACGTAACCCTCAAAGCTATCCAAATATCCTCCTGCAGATTCCACAAAAAGACGCTTTCAAGCCTGCCCTTAGAAAGGGAATATTCAACTCTCTGATATCAATGCAGATATCACAAAGTAGTTTCTGAGAGTGCTTCTGCCTAGGTTTTATATGAAGATATTCCCGTTTCCAACGAAATAGTTAGGGCTATCCATGTATCAACTTGCAAATTCTATAAAAAGAGTGTTTCCAAACTGCTGTATCATAAGAAAGGTTGAACTCTGTTAGTTGAGGACACACATCACAAAGACGTTTCTGAGAATGCTTCTGTCTAGTTTTGATGTTAAGGTATTTCCTTTTTCAACATAGGCCTGAAATCGATCGAAATGTCCACTTCCAGATACTACAGAAAGAGTGTTTCAAACCTGCTCTATTGAAGGGAATATTCAACTCTGTGACTTAAAAGCAAACATCACAAAGAATCTCCTGAGAATGCTGCTGTCTACTTTCTTTATGTATTCCCGTCTCCAACGAAATCCTCAGAGCTATCCGAATATCCATCTGCAGATTCCACATAAAGAGCTTTCCAAAACTGATCTATAAAGAGAAAGGTTCAACTCTGTTAGTTGAGTACATATATCCCAAAAATGTTTCTTAGAATGCTTCTGTCTAGCTTTCATGGGAAGACATTTCCTTTTTCACCAAAGGCGTCAAAGTGCTCCAAATGTCCACTTCCAGATACGACAAAAAGAGTGTTTCAAACCTGCTTTAGGAAGGGAAATGTTCAACTCTGTGTCTTGAATGCAGATATCACAAAGCAGTTTCTGAGAGTGCCACTGTCTAGATATTATATGAAGGTATTCCCGTTTCCAACGAAATCGTTAGAGCTATCCAACTATCCACTTGCAGATTCTATAAAAAGAGTGTTTCCAACGTGCTGTATCAAAAGATAGGTTGTACACTGTTAGTTGAGGACACACATTACGAAGAAGTTTCTGAGAATGCCTCTGTCTAGATTTTACCTGAAGATATTCCGGTTTCCAATGAAATCCTTAAAGCTCTCCAAATATCCACTAGCAGATACTCCAAAAGAGTCTTTCAAAACTGCTCTGTAAATAGAAATGTTCAACTCTGTTAGTTGAAGACATACGTCACAAAGCAGTTTGTGAGAATGCTTCTGTCCAGTTTTTATGGGACGATATGTCCTTTTTCACCATAAGCGTCCAAGCGCTCCAAGTGCCCACATCCAGATACTACAGAAAGTGTGTTTCAAACCTGCTCTATGAAAGGGAATGTTCAACTCCGTGACGTGAATGCAGATATCACAAAGCAGTTTCTGAGCATGTTACTGTCTAGGTTGTCTATGAAGATACTCCCGTTTCCAACGAAATCCACAAAGCCATCCAAATATCCACTTCCCGATTCTACAAAAATCGTGTTTCCAAACTGCTCTGTCAAATGAAATGTTCAACTCCGTGAGTTGAGGACACAGATCACAAACAAGTTTCTGCGAATGCTTCTGTCTAGTTTGCATGGGAAGATATTTCCTTGTTCACCACGGGCCTGAAAGCGCTCGAAATGTCCACATCCAGATACTGCAGAAAGAGAGTTTGAAACCTGCTCTATGAAAGGGAACGTTCAACTCTGTGACTTAAACGCAAACATCACAAAGAAGCTTCTGAGAATGCTGCTGTCTACTTTGTATATGTAATCCCGTTTCCAACGTAACCCTCAAAGCTATCCAAATATCCTCCTGCAGATTCCACAAAAAGACGCTTTCAAGCCTGCCCTTAGAAAGGGAATATTCAACTCTCTGATATCAATGCAGATATCACAAAGTAGTTTCTGAGAGTGCTTCTGTCTAGGTTTTATGTGAAGATATTCCCGTTTCCAACGAAATAGTTAGGGCTATCCATGTATCAACTTGCAAATTCTATAAAAAGAGTGTTTCCAAACTGCTGTATCATAAGAAAGGTTGAACTCTGTTAGTTGAGGACACACATCACAAAGACGTTTCTGAGAATGCTTCTGTCTAGTTTTTATGTTAAGATATTTCCTTTTTCAACATAGGCCTGAAATCGATCGAAATGTCCACTTCCAGATACTACAGAAAGAGTGTTTCAAACCTGCTCTATTGAAGGGAATATTCAACTCTGTGACTTAAAAGCAAACATCACAAAGAATCTCCCGAGAATGCTGCTGTCTAGTTTCTTTATGTATTCCCGTCTCCAACGAAATCCTCAGAGCTATCCGAATATCCATCTGCAGATTCCACATAAAGAGCTTTCCAAAACTGATCTATAAAGAGAAAGGTTCAACTCTGTTAGTTGAGTACATATATCCCAAAAATGTTTCTTAGAATGCTTCTGTCTAGTTTTGATGGGAAGACATTTCCTTTTTCACCAAAGGCGTCAAAGTGCTCCAAATGTCCACTTCCAGATACGACAGAAAGAGTGTTTCAAACCTGCTTTAGGAAGGGAAATGTTCAACTCTGTGGCTTGAATGCAGATATCACAAAGCAGTTTCTGCGAGTGCCACTGTCTAGATTTTATATGAAGGTATTCCCGTTTCCAACGAAATCGTTAGAGCTATCCAAATATCCACTTGCAGATTCTATAAAAAGAGTGTTTCCAACGTGCTGTATCAAAAGATAGGTTGTACACTGTTAGTTGAGGACACACATTACAAAGAAGTTTCTGAGAATGCCTCTGTCTAGATTTTACCTGAAGACATTCCGGTTTCCAGTGAAATCCTTAAAGCTCTCCACATATCCACTAGCAGATACTCCAAAAGAGTCTTTCAAAACTGCTCTGTGAATAGAAACGCTCAACTCTGTTAGCTGACGACATACGTCACAAAGCAGTTTGTGAGAATGCTTCTGTCTAGGTTTTATGGGACGATATTTCCTTTTTCACCATAAGCGTCCAAGAGCTCCAAGTGCCCACATCCAGATACTTCAGAAAGGGTGTTTCAAACCTGCTCTATGAAAGGGAATGTTCAACTCTGTGACGTGAATGCGGATATCACAAAGCCGTTTCTGAGAATGTTACTGTCTAGGTTGTCTATGAAGATACTCCCGTTTCCAACGAAATCCACAAAGCCATCCAAATATCCACTTGCAGATTCTACAAAAATCGTGTTTCCAAACTGCTCTGTCAAACGAAATGTTCAACTCTGTGAGTTGAGGACACACATCACAAACAAGTTTCTGCGAATGCTTCTGTCTAGTTTGCATGGGAAGATATTTCCTTGTTCACCACGGGCCTGAAAGCGCTCGAAATGTCCACTTCCAGATACTGCAGAAAGAGGGTTTGAAACCTGCTCTATGAAAGGGAACGTTCAACTCTGTGACTTCAACGCAAACATCACAAAGAATCTCCTGAGAATGCTGCTGTCTACTTTGTATATGTAATCCCGTTTCCAACGTAACCCTCCAAGCTATCCAAATATCCTCCTGCAGATTCCACAAAAAGACGCTTTCAAGCCTGCCCTTAGAAAGGGAATATTCAACTCTCTGATATCAATGCAGATATCACAAAGTAGTTTCTGAGAGTGCTTCTGCCTAGGTTTTATATGAAGATATTCCCGTTTCCAACGAAATACTTAGGGCTATCCATGTATCAACTTGCAAATTCTATAAAAAGAGTGTTTCCAAACTGCTGTATCATAAGAAAGGTTGAACTCTGTTAGTTGAGGACACACATCACAAAGACGTTTCTGAGAATGCTTCTGTCTAGTTTTTATGTTAAGATATTTCCTTTTTCAACATAGGCCTGAAATCGATCGAAATGGCCACTTCCAGATACTACAGAAAGAGTGTTTCAAACCTGCTCTATTGAAGGGAATATTCAACTCTGTGACTGAAAAGCAAACATCACAAAGAATCTCCCGAGAATGCTGCTGTCTACTTTCTTTATGTATTCCCGTCTCCAACGAAATCCTCAGAGCTATCCGAATATCCATCTGCAGATTCCACATAAAGAGCTTTCCAAAACTGATCTATAAAGAGAAAGGTTCAACTCTGTTAGTTCAGTACATATATCCCAAAAATGTTTCTTAGAATGCTTCTGTCTAGTTTTGATGGGAAGACATTTCCTTTTTTCACCAAAGGCGTCAAAGTGCTCCAAATGTCCACTTCCAGATACGACAGAAAGAGTGTTTCAAACCTGCTTTAGGAAGGGAAATGTTCAACTCTGTGGCTTGAATGCAGATATCACAAAGCAGTTTCTGAGAGTGCCACTGTCTAGATTTTATATGAAGGTATTCCCGTTTCCAACGAAATCGTTAGAGCTATCCAAATATCCACTTGCAGATTCTATAAAAAGAGTGTTTCCAACGTGCTGTATCAAAAGATAGGTTGTACACTGTTAGTTGAGGACACACATTACAAAGAAGTTTCTGAGAATGCCTCTGTCTAGATTTTACCTGAAGATATTCCGGTTTCCAGTGAAATCCTTAAAGCTCTCCACATATCCACTAGCAGATACTCCAAAAGAGTCTTTCAAAACTGCTCTGTGAATAGAAATGCTCAACTCTGTTAGCTGACGACATACGTCACAAAGCAGTTTGTGAGAATGCTTCTGTCTAGGTTTTATGGGACGATATTTCCTTTTTCACCATAAGCGTCCAAGAGCTCCAAGTGCCCACATCCAGATACTTCAGAAAGGGTGTTTCAAACCTGCTCTATGAAAGGGAATGTTCAACTCTGTGACGTGAATGCGGATATCACAAAGCCGTTTCTGAGAATGTTACTGTCTAGGTTGTCTATGAAGATACTCCCGTTTCCAACGAAATCCACAAAGCCATCCAAATATCCACTTGAAGATTCTACAAAAATCGTGTTTCCAAACTGCTCTGTCAAACGAAATGTTCAACTCTGTGAGTTGAGGACACACATCACAAACAAGTTTCTGCGAATGCTTCTGTCTAGTTTGCTTGGGAAGATATATCCTTGTTCACCATAGGCCTGAAAGCGCTCGAAATGTCCACTTCCAGATACTGCAGAAGGAGGGTTTGAAACATGCTCTATGAAAGGGAACGTTCAACTCTGTGACTTAAACGCAAACATCACAAAGAATCTTCTGAGAATGCTGCTGTCTGCTTTGTACATGTAATCCCGTTTCCAACGTAACCCTCAAAGCTATCCAAATATCCTCCTGCAGATTCCACGAAAAGACGCTTTCAAGCCTGCCCTTAGAAAGGGAATATTCAACTCTCTGATATCAATGCAGATATCACAAAGTAGTTTCTGAGAGTGCTTTCTGTCTAGGTTTTATGTGAAGATATTCCCGTTTCCAACGAAATAGTTAGGGCTATCCATGTATCAACTTGCAAATTCTATAAAAAGAGTGTTTCCCAACTGCTGTATCATAAGAAAGGTTGAACTCTGTTAGTTGAGGACACACATCACAAAGACGTTTCTGAGAATGCTTCTGTCTAGTTTTTATGTTAAGATATTTCCTTTTTCAACATAGGCCTGAAATCGATCGAAATGTCCACTTCCAGATACTACGGAAAGAGTGTTTCAAACCTGCTCTATTGAAGGGAATATTCAACTCTGTGACTTCAAAGCAAACATCACAAAGAATCTCCCGAGAATGCTGCTGTCTACTTTCTTTATGTATTCCCGTCTCCAACGAAATCCTCAGAGCTATCCGAATATCCATCTGCAGATTCCACATAAAGAGCTTTCCAAAACTGATCTATAAAGAGAAAGGTTCAACTCTGTTAGTTGAGTACATATATCCCAAAAATGTTTCTTAGAATGCTTCTGTCTAGTTTTCATGGGAAGACATTTCCTTTTTCACCAAAGGCGTCAAAGTGCTCCAAATGTCCACTTCCAGATACGACAGAAAGAGTGTTTCAAACCTGCTTTAGGAAGGGAAATGTTCAACTCTGTGGCTTGAATGCAGATATCACAAAGCAGTTTCTGAGAGTGCCACTGTCTAGATTTTATATGAAGGTATTCCCGTTTCCAACGAAATCGTTAGAGCTATCCAACTATCCACTTGCAGATTCTATAAAAAGAGTGTTTCCAACGTGCTGTATCAAAAGATAGGTTGTACACTGTTAGTTGAGGACACACATTACGAAGAAGTTTCTGAGAATGCCTCTGTCTAGATTTTACCTGAAGATATTCCGGTTTCCAATGAAATCCTTAAAGCTCTCCAAATATCCACTAGCAGATACTCCAAAAGAGTCTTTCAAAACTGCTCTGTGAATAGAAAGGTTCAACTCTGTTAGTTGAAGACATACGTCACAAAGCAGTTTGTGAGAATGCTTCTGTCCAGTTTTTATGGGACGATCTGTCCTTTTTCACCATAAGCGTCCAAGCGCTCCAAGTGCCCACATCCAGATACTACAGAAAGTGTGTTTCAAACCTGCTCTATGAAAGGGAATGTTCAACACTGTGACGTGAATGCAGATATCACAAAACAGTTTCTGAGCATGTTACTGTCTAGGTTGTCTATGAAGATACTCCCGTTTCCAACGAAATCCACAAAGCCATCCAAATATACACTTGCAGATTCTACAAAAATCGTGTTTCCAAACTGCTCTGTCAAACGAAATGTTCAACTCTGTGAGTTGAGGACACACATCACAAACAAGTTTCTGTGAATGCTTCTGTCTAGTTTGCATGGGAAGATATTTCCTTGTTCACCATGGGCCTGAAAGCGCTCGAAATGTCCACTTCCAGATACTGCAGAAAGAGGGTTTGAAACCTGCTCTATGAAAGGGAACGTTCAACTCTGTGACTTAAACGCAAACATCACAAAGAAGCTTCTGAGAATGCTGCTGTCTACTTTGTATATGTAATCCCGTTTCCAACGTAACCCTCAAAGCTATCCAAATATCCTCCTGCAGATTCCACAAAAAGACGCTTTCAAGCCTGCCCTTAGAAAGGGAATATTCAACTCTCTGATATCAATGCAGATATCACAAAGTAGTTTCTGAGAGTGCTTCTGCCTAGGTTTTATATGAAGATATTCCCGTTTCCAACGAAATAGTTAGGGCTATCCATGTATCAACTTGCAAATTCTATAAAAAGAGTGTTTCCAAACTGCTGTATCATAAGAAAGGTTGAACTCTGTTAGTTGAGGACACACATCACAAAGACGTTTCTGAGAATGCTTCTGTCTAGTTTTTATGTTAAGGTATTTCCTTTTTCAACATAGGCCTGAAATCGATCGAAATGTCCACTTCCAGATACTACAGAAAGAGTGTTTCAAACCTGCTCTATTGAAGGGAATATTCAACTCTGTGACTTAAAAGCAAACATCACAAAGAATCTCCTGAGAATGCTGCTGTCTACTTTCTTTATGTATTCCCGTCTCCAACGAAATCCTCAGAGCTATCCGAATATCCATCTGCAGATTCCACATAAAGAGCTTTCCAAAACTGATCTATAAAGAGAAAGGTTCAACTCTGTTAGTTGAGTACATATATCCCAAAAATGTTTCTTAGAATGCTTCTGTCTAGTTTTGATGGGAAGACATTTCCTTTTTCACCAAAGGCGTCAAAGTGCTCCAAATGTCCACTTCCAGATACGACAAAAAGAGTGTTTCAAACCTGCTTTAGGAAGGGAAATGTTCAACTCTGTGGCTTGAATGCAGATATCACAAAGCAGTTTCTGAGAGTGCCACTGTCTAGATTTTATATGAAGGTATTCCCGTTTCCAACGAAATCGTTAGAGCTATCCAACTATCCACTTGCAGATTCTATAAAAAGAGTGTTTCCAACGTGCTGTATCAAAAGATAGGTTGTACACTGTTAGTTGAGGACACACATTACGAAGAAGTTTCTGAGAATGCCTCTGTCTAGATTTTACCTGAAGATATTCCGGTTTCCAATGAAATCCTTAAAGCTCTCCAAATATCCACTAGCAGATACTCCAAAAGAGTCTTTCAAAACTGCTCTGTGAATAGAAATGTTCAACTCTGTTAGTTGAAGACATACGTCACAAAGCAGTTTGTGAGAATGCTTCTGTCCAGTTTTTATGGGACGATATGTCCTTTTTCACCATAAGCGTCCAAGAGCTCCAAGTGCCCACATCCAGATACTACAGAAAGTGTGTTTCAAACCTGCTCTATGAAAGGGAATGTTCAACTCTGTGACGTGAATGCAGATATCACAAAACAGTTTCTGAGCATGTTACTGTCTAGGTTGTCTGTGAAGATACTCCCGTTTCCAACGAAATCCACAAAGCCATCCAAATATCCACTTGCAGATTCTACAAAAATCGTGTTTCCAAACTGCTCTGTCAAACGAAATGTTCAACTCCGTGAGTTGAGGACACACATCACAAACAAGTTTCTGCGAATGCTTCTGTCTAGTTTGCATGGGAAGATATTTCCTTGTTCACCATGGGCCTGAAAGCGCTCGAAATGTCCACTTCCAGATACTGCAGAAAGAGGGTTTGAAACCTGCTCTATGAAAGGGAACGTTCAACTCTGTGACTTAAACGCAAACATCACAAAGAAGCTTCTGAGAATGCTGCTGTCTACTTTGTATATGTAATCCCGTTTCCAACGTAACCCTCAAAGCTATCCAAATATCCTCCTGCAGATTCCACGAAAAGACGCTTTCAAGCCTGTCCTTAGAAAGGGAATATTCAACTCTCTGATATCAACGCAGATATCACAAAGTAGTTTCTGAGAGAGCTTCTGTCTAGGTTTTATATGAAGATATTCCCGTTTCCAACGAAATAGTTAGGGCTATCCATGTATCAACTTGCAAATTCTATAAAAAGAGTATTTCCAAACTGCTGTATCATAAGAAAGGTTGAACTCTGTTAGTTGAGGACACACATCACAAAGACGTTTCTGAGAATGCTTCTGTCTAGTTTTTATGTTACGATATTTCCTTTTTCAACATAGGCCTGAAATCGATCGAAATGTCCACTTCCAGATACTACAGAAAGAGTGTTTCAAACCTGCTCTATTGAAGGGAATATTCAACTCTGTGACTTAAAAGCAAACATCACAAAGAATCTCCCGAGAATGCTGCTGTCTACTTTCTTTATGTATTCCCGTCTCCAGCGAAATCCTCAGATCTATCCGAATATCCACTTGCAGATTCCACGTAAAGAGCTTTCCAAAACTGATCTATAAAGAGGAAGGTTCAAATCTGTTAGTTGAGTACATATATCCCAAAAATGTTTCTTAGAATGCTTCTGTCTAGTTTTGATTGGAAGACATTTCCTTTTTCACCAAAGGCGTCAAAGTGCTCCAAATGTCCACTTCCAGATACGACAAAAAGAGTGTTTCAAACCTGCTTTAGGAAGGGAAATGTTCAACTCTGTGGCTTGAATGCAGATATCACAAAGCAGTTTCTGAGAGTGCCACTGTCTAGATTTTATATAAAGGTATTCCCGTTTCCAACGATATCGTTAGCGCTATCCAACTATCCACTTGCAGATTCTATAAAAAGAGTGTTTCCAACGTGCTGTTTCAAAAGATAGGTTGTACACGGTTAGTTGAGGACACACATTATGAAGAAGTTTCTGAGAATGCCTCTGTCTAGATTTTACCTGAAGATATTCCGGTTTCCAATGAAATCCTTAAAGCTCTCCAAATATCCACTAGCAGATACTCCAAAAGAGTCTTTCAAAACTGCTCTGTGAATAGAAATGTTCAACTCTGTTAGTTGAAGACATACGTCAGAAAGCAGTTTGTGAGAATGCTTCTGTCCAGTTTTTATGGGACGATATGTCCTTTTTCACCATAAGCGTCCAAGCGCTCCAAGTGCCCACATCCAGATACTACAGAAAGTGTGTTTCAAACCTGCTCTATGAAAGGGAATGTTCAACTCTGTGACGTGAATGCAGATATCACAAAGCAGTTTCTGAGCATGTTACTGTCTAGGTTTTCTATGAAGATACTCCCGTTTCCAACGAAATCCACAAAGCCATCCAAATATCCACTTGCAGATTCTACAAAAATCGTGTTTCCAAACTGCTCTGTCAAACGAAATGTTCAACTCTGTGAGTTGAGGACACACATCACAAACAAGTTTCTGGGAATGCTTCTGTCTAGTTTGCATGAGAAGATATTTCCTTGTTCACCATAGGCCTGAAAGCGCTCGAAATGTCCACTTCCAGATACTGCAGAAAGAGGGTTTGAAACCTGCTCTATGAAAGGGAACGTTCAACTCTGTGACTTAAACGCAAACATCATAAAGAAGCTTCTGAGAATGCTGCTGTCTACTTTGTATATGTAATCCCGTTTCCAACGTAACCCTCAAAGCTATCCAAATATCCTCCTGCAGATTCCACGAAAAGACGCTTTCAAGCCTGTCCTTAGAAAGGGAATATTCAACTCTCTGATATCAACGCAGATATCACAAAGTAGTTTCTGAGAGAGCTTCTGTCTAGGTTTTATATGAAGATATTCCCGTTTCCAACGAAATAGTTAGGGCTATCCATGTATCAACTTGCAAATTCTATAAAAAGAGTATTTCCAAACTGCTGTATCATAAGAAAGGTTGAACTCTGTTAGTTGAGGACACACATCACAAAGACGTTTCTGAGAATGCTTCTGTCTAGTTTTGATGTTAAGGTATTTCCTTTTTCAACATAGGCCTGAAATCGATCGAAATGTCCACTTCCAGATACTACAGAAAGAGTGTTTCAAACCTGCTCTATTGAAGGGAATATTCAACTCTGTGACTTAAAAGCAAACATCACAAAGTATCTCCTGAGAATGCTGCTGTCTACTTTCCTTATGTATTCCCGTCTCCAAAGAAATCCTCAGAGCTATCCGAATGTCCATCTGCAGATTCCACATAAAGAGCTTTCCAAAACTGATCTATAAAGAGAAAGGTTCAACTCTGTTAGTTGAGTACTTATATCCCAAAAATGTTTCTTAGAATGCTTCTGTCTAGTTTTCATGGGAAGACATTTCCTTTTTCACCAAAGGCGTCAAAGTGCTCCAAATGTCCACTTCCAGATACGACAGAAAGAGTGTTTCAAACCTGCTTTAGGAAGGGAAATGTTCAACTCTGTGGCTTGAATGCAGATATCACAAAGCAGTTTCTGAGAGTGCCACTGTCTAGATTTTATATGAAGGTATTCCCGTTTCCAACGAAATCGTTAGAGCTACCCAACTATCCACTTGCAGATTCTATAAAAAGAGTGTTTCCAACGTGCTGTATCAAAAGATAGGTTGTACACTGTTAGTTGAGGACACACATTACGAAGAAGTTTCTGAGAATGCCTCTGTCTAGATTTTACCTGAAGATATTCCGGTTTCCAATGAAATCCTTAAAGCTCTCCAAATATCCACTAGCAGATACTCCAAAAGAGTCTTTCAAAACTGCTCTGTGAATAGAAATGTTCAACTCTGTTTGTTGAAGACATACGTCACAAAGCAGTTTGTGAGAATGCTTCTGTCCAGTTTTTATGGACGATATGTCCTTTTTCACCATAAGCGTCCAAGCGCTCCAAGTGCCCACATCCAGATACTACAGAAAGTGTGTTTCAAACCTGCTCTATGAAAGGGAATGTTCAACTCTGTGACGTAAATGCAGATATCACAAAACAGTTTCTGAGCATGTTACTGTCTAGGTTGTCTATGAAGATACTCCCGTTTCCAACGAAATCCACAAAGCCATCCAAATATCCACTTGCAGATTCTACAAACATCGTGTTTCCAAACTGCTCTGTCAAACGAAATGTTCAACTCCGTGAGTTGAGGACACACATCACAAACAAGTTTCTGCGAATGCTTCTGTCTAGTTTGCATGGGAAGATATTTCCTTGTTCACCATAGGCCTGAAAGCGCTCGAAATGTCCACTTCCAGATACTGCAGAAAGAGGGTTTGAAACCTGCTCTATGAATGGGAACGTTCAACTCTGTGACTTAAACGCAAACATCATAAAGAAGCTTCTGAGAATGCTGCTGTCTACTTTGTATATGCAATCCCGTTTCCAACGTAACCCTCAAAGCTATCCAAATATCCTCCTGCAGATTCCACGAAAAGACGCTTTCAAGCCTGCCCTTAGAAAGGGAATATGCAACTCTCTGATATCAATGCAGATATCACAAAGTAGTTTCTGAGAGTGCTTCTGTCTAGGTTTTATATGAAGATATTCCCGTTTCCAACGAAATAGCTAGGGCTATCCATGTATCAACTTGCAAATTCTATAAAAAGAGTGTTTCCAAACTGCTGTATCATAAGAAAGGTTGAACTTTGTTAGTTGAGGACACACATCACAACGCCGTTTCTGAGAATGCTTCTGTCTAGTTTTTATGTAAAGATATTTCCTTTTTCAACATAGGCCTGAAATCGATCGAAATGTCCACTTCCAGATACTACAGAAAGAGTGTTTCAAACCTGCTCTTTTGAAGGGAATATTCAACTCTGTGACTTAAAAGCAAACATCACAAAGAATCTCCTGAGAATGCTGCTGTCTAATTTCTTTATGTATTCCCGTCTCCAACGAAATCCTCAGAGCTATCCG
This sequence comes from Homo sapiens, assembly GCF_000001405.40. Taxonomy (NCBI): domain Eukaryota; kingdom Metazoa; phylum Chordata; class Mammalia; order Primates; family Hominidae; genus Homo; species Homo sapiens. Next base: position 15,517,825 of record NC_000018.10, on the reverse strand, counting down.
AATATCCATCTGCAGATTCCACATAAAGAGCTTTCCAAAACTGATCTATAAAGAGAAAGGTTCAACCCTGTTAGTTGAGTACATATATCCCAAAAATGTTTCTTAGAATGCTTCTGTCTAGTTTTGATGGGAAGACATTTCCTTATTCACCAAAGGCGTCAAAGTGCTCCAAATGTCCACTTCCAGATACGACAAAAAGAGTGTTTCAAACCTGCTTTAGGAAGGGAAATGTTCAACTCTGTGGCTTGAATGCAGATATCACAAAGCAGTTTCTGAGAGTGCCACTGTCTAGATTTTATATGAAGGTCTTCCCGTTTCCAACGAAATCATTAGAGCTATCCAACTATCCACTTGCAGATTCTATAAAAAGAGTGTTTCCAACGTGCTGTATCAAAAGATAGGTTGTACACTGTTAGTTGAGGACACACATTACAAAGAAGTTTCTGAGAATGCCTCTGTCTAGATTTTACCTGAAGATATTCCGGTTTCCAATGAAATCCTTAAAGCTCTCCAAATATCCACTAGCAGACACTCCAAAAGAGTCTTTCAAAACGGCTCTGTGAATAGAAATGTTCAACTCTGTTAGTTGAAGACATACGTCACAAAGCAGTTTGTGAGAATGCTTCTGTCTAGTTTTTATGGGACGATATTTCCTTTTTCACCATAAGCGTCCAAGCGCTCCAAGTGCCCACATCCAGATACTACAGAAAGTGTGTTTCAAGCCTGCTCTATGAGAGGGAAAGTTCAACTCTGTGACGTGAATGCGGATATCACAAAGCCGTTTCTGAGAATGTTACTGTCTAGGTTGTCCATGAAGATACTCCCGTTTTCAACGAAATCCACAAAGCCATCCAAATATCCACTTGCAGATTCTGCAAAAATCGTGTTTCCAAACTGCTCTGTCATACGAAATGTTCAACTCTGTGAGTTGAGGACACACATCACAAACAAGTTTCTGCGAATGCTTCTGTCTAGTTTGCTTGGGAAGATATTTCCTTGTTCACCATGGGCCTGAAAGCGCTCGAAATGTCCACTTCCAGATACTGCAGAAAGAGGGTTTGAAACCTGCTCTCTGAAAGGGAACGTTCAACTCTGTGACTTAAACGCAAACATCACAAAGAAGCTTCTGAGAATGCTGCTGTCTACTTTGTATATGTAATCCCGTTTCCAACGTAACCCTCAAAGCTATCCAAATATCCTCCTGCAGATTCCACAAAAAGACGCTTTCAAGCCTGCCCTTAGAAAGGGAATATTCAACTCTCTGATATCAATGCAGATATCACAAAGTAGTTTCTGAGAGTGCTTCTGCCTAGGTTTTATATGAAGATATTCCCGTTTCCAACGAAATAGTTAGGGCTATCCATGTATCAACTTGCAAATTCTATAAAAAGAGTGTTTCCAAACTGCTGTATCATAAGAAAGGTTGAACTCTGTTAGTTGAGGACACACATCACAAAGACGTTTCTGAGAATGCTTCTGTCTAGTTTTTATGTTAAGATATTTCCTTTTTCAACATAGGCCTGAAATCGATCGAAATGTCCACTTCCAGATACTACAGAAAGAGTGTTTCAAACCTGCTCTATTGAAGGGAATATTCAACTCTGTGACTTAAAAGCAAACATCACAAAGTATCTCCTGAGAATGCTGCTGTCTACTTTCTTTATGTATTCCCGTCTCCAACGAAATCCTCAGAGCTATCCGAATATCCATCTGCAGATTCCACATAAAGAGCTTTCCAAAACTGATCTATAAAGAGAAAGGTTCAACTCTGTTAGTTGAGTACATATATCCCAAAAATGTTTCTTAGAATGCTTCTGTCTAGTTTTGATGGGAAGACATTTCCTTTTTCACCAAAGGCGTCAAAGTGCTCCAAATGTCCACTTCCAGATACGACAGAAAGAGTGTTTCAAACCTGCTTTAGGAAGGGAAATGTTCAACTCTGTGGCTTGAATGCAGATATCACAAAGCAGTTTCTGAGAGTGCCACTGTCTAGATTTTATATGAAGGTATTCCCGTTTCCAACGAAATCGTTAGAGCTATCCAAATATCCACTTGCAGATTCTATAAAAAGAGTGTTTCCAACGTGCTGTATCAAAAGATAGGTTGTACACTGTTAGTTGAGGACACACATTACGAAGAAGTTTCTGAGAATGCCTCTGTCTAGATTTTACCTGAAGACATTCCGGTTTCCAATGAAATCCTTAAAGCTCTCCAAATATCCACTAGCAGATACTCTAAAAGAGTCTTTCAAAACTGCTCTGTAAATAGAAATATTCAACTCTGTTAGTTGAAGACATACGTCACAAAGCAGTTTGTGAGAATGCTTCTGTCTAGTTTTTATGGGACGATATTTCCTTTTTCACCATAAGCGTCCAAGCGCTCCAAGTGTCCACATCCAGATACTACAGAAAGTGTGTTTCAAACGTGCTCTATGAAAGGGAATGTTCTACTCTGTGACGTGAATGCAGATATCACAAAGCAGTTTCTGAGAATGTTACTGTCTAGGTTTTCTATGAAGATACTCCCGTTTCCAACGAAATCCACAAAGCCATCCAAATATCCGCTTGCAGATTCTACAAAAATCGTGTTTCCAAACTGCTCTGTCAAACGAAATGTTCAACTCTGTGAGTTGAGGACACACATCACAAACAAGTTTCTGCGAATGCTTCTGTCTAGTTTGCATGGGAAGATATTTCCTTGTTCACCATAGGCCTGAAAGCGCTCGAAATGTCCACTTCCAGATACTGCAGAAAGAGGGTTTGAAACCTGCTCTATGAAAGGGAACGTTCAACTCTGTGACTTAAACGCAAACATCATGACGAAGCTTCTGAGAATGCTGCTGTCTACTTTGTATATGTAATCCCGTTTCCAACGTAATCCTCAAAGCTATCCAAATATCCTCCTGCAGATTCCACGAAAAGACGCTTTCAAACCTGCCCTTAGAAAGGGAATATTCAACTCTCTGATATCAATGCAGATATCACAAAGTAGTTTCTGAGAGTGTTTCTGTCTAGGTTTTATATGAAGATATTCCCGTTTCCAACGAAATAGTTAGGGCTATCCATATATCAACATGCAAATTCTATAAAAAGAGTGTTTCCAAACTGCTGTATCATAAGAAAGGTTGAACTCTGTTAGTTGAGGACACACATCACAAAGACGTTTCTGAGAATGCTTCTGTCTAGTTTTTATGTTAAGGTATTTCCTTTTTCAACATAGGCCTGAAATCGATCGAAATGTCCACTTCCAGATACTACAGAAAGAGTGTTTCAAACCTGCTCTATTGAAGGGAATATTCAACTCTGTGACTTAAAAGCAAACATCACAAAGAATCTCCTGAGAATGCTGCTGTCTACTTTCTTTATGTATTCCCGTCTCCAACGAAATCCTCAGAGCTATCCGAATATCCATTTGCAGTTTCCACATAAAGAGCTTTCCAAAACTGATCTATAAAGAGAAAGGTTCAACTCTGTTAGTTGAGTACATATATCCCAAAAATGTTTCTTAGAATGCTTCTGTCTAGTTTTCATGGGAAGACATTTCCTTTTTCACCAAAGGCGTCAAAGTGCTCCAAATGTCCACTTCCAGATACGACAAAAAGAGTGTTTCAAACCTGCTTCAGGAAGGGAAATGTTCAACTCTGTGGCTTGAATGCAGATATCACAAAGCAGTTTCTGAGAGTGCCACTGTCTAGATTTTATATGAAGGTATTCCCGTTTCCAACGAAATCGTTAGAGCTATCCAACTATCCACTTGCAGATTCTATAAAAAGAGTGTTTCCAACGTGCTGTATCAAAAGATAGGTTGTACACTGTTAGTTGAGGACACACATTACGAAGAAGTTTCTGAGAATGCCTCTGTCTAGATTTTACCTGAAGATATTCCGGTTTCCAATGAAATCCTTAAAGCTCTCCAAATATCCACTAGCAGATACTCCAAAAGAGTCTTTCAAAACTGCTCTGTGAATAGAAATGTTCAACTCTGTTAGTTGAAGACATACGTCACAAAGCAGTTTGTGAGAATGCTTCTGTTTAGTTTTTATGGGACGATATTTCCTTTTTAACCATAAGCGTCCAAGCGCTCCAAGTGCCCACATGCAGATACTACAGAAAGTGTGTTTCAAACCTGCTCTATGAAAGGGAATGTTCAACTCTGTGACGTGAATGCGGATATCACAAAGCCGTTTCTGAGAATGTTACTGTCTAGGTTTTCTATGAAGATACTCCCGTTTCCAACGAAATCCACAAAGCCATCCAAATATCCACTTGCAGATTCTACAAAAATCGTGTTTCCAAACTGCTCTGTCAAACGAAATGTTCAACTCTGTGAGTTGAGGACACACATCACAAACAAGTTTCTGTGAATGCTTCTGTCTAGTTTTCATGGGAAGATATTTCCTTGTTCACCATAGGCCTGAAAGCGCTCGAAATGTCCACTTCCAGATACTGCAGAAAGAGGGTTTGAAACCTGCTCTATGAAAGGGAACGTTCAACTCTGTGACTTGAACGCAAACATCATAAAGAAGCTTCTGAGAATGCTGCTGTCTGCTTTGTACATGTAATCCCGTTTCCAACGTAACCCTCAAAGCTATCCAAATATCCTCCTGCAGATTCCACGAAAAGACGCTTTCAAGCCTGCCCTTAGAAAGGGAATATTCAACTCTCTGATATCAATGCAGATATCACAAAGTAGTTTCTGAGAGTGCTTCTGTCTAGGTTTTATGTGAAGATATTCCCGTTTCCAACGAAATAGTTAGGGCTATCCATGTATCAACTTGCAAATTCTATAAAAAGAGTGTTTCCCAACTGCTGTATCATAAGAAAGGTTGAACTCTGTTAGTTGAGGACACACATCACAAAGACGTTTCTGAGAATGCTTCTGTCTAGTTTTTATGTTAAGATATTTCCTTTTTCAACATAGGCCTGAAATCGATCGAAATGGCCACTTCCAGATACTACAGAAAGAGTGTTTCAAACCTGCTCTATTGAAGGGAATATTCAACTCTGTGACTGAAAAGCAAACATCACAAAGAATCTCCCGAGAATGCTGCTGTCTACTTTCTTTATGTATTCCCGTCTCCAACGAAATCCTCAGAGCTATCCGAATATCCATCTGCAGATTCCACATAAAGAGCTTTCCAAAACTGATCTATAAAGAGAAAGGTTCAACTCTGTTAGTTGAGTACATATATCCCAAAAATGTTTCTTAGAATGCTTCTGTCTAGTTTTGATGGGAAGACATTTCCTTTTTCACCAAAGGCGTCAAAGTGCTCCAAATGTCCACTTCCAGATACGACAGAAAGAGTGTTTCAAACCTGCTTTAGGAAGGGAAATGTTCAACTCTGTGGCTTGAATGCAGATATCACAAAGCAGTTTCTGCGAGTGCCACTGTCTAGATTTAATATGAAGGTATTCCCGTTTCCAACGAAATCGTTAGAGCTATCCAAATATCCACTTGCAGATTCTACAAAAAGAGTGTTTCCAAACTGCAGTATCAAAAGACAGGTTGTACTCTGTCCGTTGAGGACACACATCATAAAGAAGTTTCTGAGAATGCCTCTGTCTAGATTTCACCTGAAGATATTCCGGTTTCCAATGAAATCCTTAAAGCTCTCCAAATATCCTCTTGCAGATTCTCCAAAATGAGTCTTTCAAAACTGCTCTGTAAATAGAAATGTTCAACTCTATTAGTTGAGGACATACATCACAAACCAGTTTGTGAGAATGCTTCTGTCCAGTTTTTATGGGACGATATGTCCTTTTTCACCATAAGCGTCCAAGCGCTCCAAGTGCCCACATCCAGATACTACAGAAAGTGTGTTTCAAACCTGCTCTATGAAAGGGAATGTTCAACTCTGTGTCGTGAATGCAGATATCACAAAGCAGTTTCTGAGAATGTTACTGTCTAGGTTGTCTATGAAGATACTCCCGTTTCCAACGAAATCCACAAAGCCATCCAAATATCCACTTGAAGATTCTACAAATTCGTGTTTCCGAACTGCTCTGTCAAACGAAATGTTCAACTCCGTGAGTTGAGGACACACATCAGAAACAAGTTTCTGTGAATGCTTCTGTCTAGTTTGCATGGGAAGATATTTCCTTGTTCACCATGGGCCTGAAAGCGCTCGAAATGTCCACTTCCAGATACTGCAGAAAGAGGGTTTGAAACCTGCTCTATGAAAGGGAACGTTCAACTCTGGGACTTAAACGCAAACATCATAAAGAAGCTTCTGAGAATGCTGCTGTCTACTTTGTATATATAATCCTGTTTCCAACGTAACCCTCAAAGCTATCCAAATATCCTCCCGCAGATTCCACGAAAAGACGCTTTCAAGCCTGCCCTTAGAAAGGGAATATTCAACTCTCTGATATCAATGCAGATATCACAAAGTAGTTTCTGAGAGTGCTTCTGCCTAGGTTTTATATGAAGATATTCCCGTTTCCAACGAAATAGTTAGGGCTATCCATGTATCAACTTGCAAATTCTATAAAAAGAGTGTTTCCAAACTGCTGTATCATAAGAAAGGTTGAACTCTGTTAGTTGAGGACACACATCACAAAGACGTTTCTGAGAATGCTTCTGTCTAGTTTTTATGTTAAGGTATTTCCTTTTTCAACATAGGCCTGAAATCGATCGAAATGTCCACTTCCAGATACTACAGAAAGAGTGTTTCAAACCTGCTCTATTGAAGGGAATATTCAACTCTGTGACTTAAAAGCAAACATCACAAAGAATCTCCTGAGAATGCTGCTGTCTACTTTCTTTATGTATTCCCGTCTCCAACGAAATCCTCAGAGCTATCCGAATATCCATCTGCAGATTCCACATACAGAGCTTTCCAAAACTGATCTATAAAGAGAAAGGTTCAACTCTGTTAGTTGAGTACATATATCCCAAAAATGTTTCTTAGAATGCTTCTGTCTAGTTTTCATGGGAAGACATTTCCTTTTTCACCAAAGGCGTCAAAGTGCTCCAAATGTCCACTTCCAGATACGACAAAAAGAGTGTTTCAAACCTGCTTTAGGAAGGGAAATGTTCAACTCTGTGGCTTGAATGCAGATATCACAAAGCAGTTTCTGAGAGTGCCACTGTCTAGATTTTATATAAAGGTATTCCCGTTTCCAACGAAATCGTTAGAGCTATCCAACTATCCACTTGCAGATTCTATAAAAAGAGTGTTTCCAACGTGCTGTATCAAAAGATAGGTTGTACACTGTTAGTTGAGGACACACATTACGAAGAAGTTTCTGAGAATGCCTCTGTCTAGATTTTACCTGAAGATATTCCGGTTTCCAATGAAATCCTTAAAGCTCTCCAAATATCCACTAGCAGATACTCCAAAAGAGTCTTTCAAAACTGCTCTGTGAATAGAAATGTTCAACTCTGTTAGTTGAAGACATACGTCACAAAGCAGTTTGTGAGAATGCTTCTGTCCAGTTTTTATGGGACGATCTGTCCTTTTTCACCATAAGCGTCCAAGCGCTCCAAGTGCCCACATCCAGATACTACAGAAAGTGTGTTTCAAACCTGCTCTATGAAAGGGAATGTTCAACTCTGTGACGTGAATGCAGATATCACAAAACAGTTTCTGAGCATGTTACTGTCTAGGTTGTCTGTGAAGATACTCCCGTTTCCAACGAAATCCACAAAGCCATCCAAATATCCACTTGCAGATTCTACAAAAATTGTGTTTCCAAACTGCTCTGTCAAACGAAATGTTCAACTCCGTGAGTTGAGGACACACATCACAAACAAGTTTCTGCGAATGCTTCTGTCTAGTTTGCATGGGAAGATATTTCCTTGTTCACCATAGGCCTGAAAGCGCTCGAAATGTCCACTTCCAGATACTGCAGAAAGAAGGTTTGAAACCTGCTCTATGAAACGGAACGTTCAACTCTGTGACTTGAACGCAAACATCATAAAGAAGCTTCTGAGAATGCTGCTGTCTGCTTTGTACATGTAATCCCGTTTCCAACGTAACCCTCAAAGCTATCCAAATATCCTCCTGCAGATTCCACGAAAAGACGCTTTCAAGCCTGCCCTTAGAAAGGGAATATTCAACTCTCTGATATCAATGCAGATATCACAAAGTAGTTTCTGAGAGTGCTTCTGTCTAGGTTTTATGTGAAGATATTCCCGTTTCCAACAAAATAGTTAGGGCTATCCATGTATCAACTTGCAAATTCTATAAAAAGAGTGTTTCCCAACTGCTGTATCATAAGAAAGGTTGAACTCTGTTAGTTGAGGACACACATCACAAAGACGTTTCTGAGAATGCTTCTGTCTAGTTTTTATGTTAAGATATTTCCTTTTTCAACATAGGCCTGAAATCGATCGAAATGGCCACTTCCAGATACTACAGAAAGAGTGTTTCAAACCTGCTCTATTGAAGGGAATATTCAACTCTGTGACTGAAAAGCAAACATCACAAAGAATCTCCCGAGAATGCTGCTGTCTACTTTCTTTATGTATTCCCGTCTCCAACGAAATCCTCAGAGCTATCCGAACATCCATCTGCAGATTCCACATAAAGAGCTTTCCAAAACTGATCTATAAAGAGAAAGGTTCAACTCTGTTAGTTGAGTACATATATCCCAAAAATGTTTCTTAGAATGCTTCTGTCTAGTTTTGATGGGAAGACATGTCCTTTTTCACCAAAGGCGTCAAAGTGCTCCAAATGTCCACTTCCAGATACGACAGAAAGAGTGTTTCAAACCTGCTTTAGGAAGGGAAATGTTCAACTCTGTGGCTTGAGTGCAGATATCACAAAGCAGTTTCTGCGAGTGCCACTGTCTAGATTTTATATGAAGGTATTCCCGTTTCCAATGAAATCGTTAGAGCTATCCAACTATCCACTTGCAGATTCTATAAAAAGAGTGTTTCCAACGTGCTGTATCAAAAGATAGGTTGTACACTGTTAGTTGAGGACACTCATTACGAAGAAGTTTCTGAGAATGCCTCTGTCTAGATTTTACCTGAAAATATTCCGGTTTCCAATGAAATCCTTAAAGCTCTCCAAATATCCACTAGCAGATACTCCAAAAGAGTCCTTCGAAAGTGCTCTGTGAATAGAAATGTTCAACTCTGTTAGTTGAAGACATACGTCACAAAGCAGTTTGTGAGAATGATTCTGTCCAGATTTTATGGGACGATATGTCCTTTTTCACCATAAGCGTCCAAGCGCTCCAAGTGCCCACATCCAGATACTACAGAAAGTGTGTTTCAAACCTGCTCTATGAAAGGGAATGTTCAACTCTGTGTCGTGAATGCAGATATCACAAAGCAGTTTCTGAGAATGTTACTGTCTAGGTTGTCTATGAAGATACTCCCGTTTCCAACGAAATCCACAAAGCCATCCAAATATCCACTTGCAGATTCTACAAAAATCGTGTTTCCAAACTGCTCTGTCAAACGAAATGTTCAACTCTGTGAGTTGAGGACACACATCACAAACAAGTTTCTGCGAATGCTTCTGTCTAGTTTGCTTGGGAAGATATTTCCTTGTTCACCATAGGCCTGAAAGCGCTCGAAATGTCCACTTCCAGATACTGCAGAAAGAGGGTTTGAAACCTGCTCTATGAAAGGGAACGTTCAACTCTGTGACTTAAACGCAAACATCACAAAGAAGCTTCTGAGAATGCTGCTGTCAACTTTGTATATGTAATCCCGTTTCCAACGTAACCCTCAAAGCTATCCAAATATCCTCCTGCAGATTCCACGAAAAGACGCTTTCAATCCTGCCCTTAGAAAGGGAATATTCAACTCTCTGTTATCAATGCAGATATCACAAAGTAGTTTCTGAGAGTGCTTCTGTCTACCTTTTATATGAAGATATTCCCGTTTCCAACGAAATAGTTAGGGCTATCCATGTATCAACTTGCAAATTCTATAAAAAGAGTGTTTCCAAACTGCTGTATCATAAGAAAGGTTGAACTCTGTTATTTGAGGACACACATCACAACGACGTTTCTGAGAATGCTTCTGTCTAGTTTTTATGTTAAGATATTTCCTTTCTCAACATAGGCCTGTAATCGATCGAAATGTCCACTTCCAGATACTACAGAAAGAGTGTTTCAAACCTGCTCTATTGAAGGGAATATTCAACTCTGTGACTTAAAAGCAAACATCACAAAGCATCTCCTGAGAATGCTGCTGTCTACTTTCTTTATGTATTCCCGTCTCCAACGAAATCCTCAGAGCTATCCGAATATCCATCTGCAGATTCCACATAAAGAGCTTTCCAAAACTGATCTATAAAGAGAAAGGTTCAACTCTGTTAGTTGAGTACACATATCCCAAAAATGTTTCTTAGAATGCTTCTGTCTAGTTTTGATGGGAAGACATTTCCTTTTTCACGAAAGGCGTCAAAGTGCTCCAAATGTCCACTTCCAGATACGACAAAAAGAGTGTTTCAAACCTGCTTTAGGAAGGGAAATGTCCAACTCTGTGGCTTGAATGCAGATATCACAAAGCAGTTTCTGAGAGTGCCACTGTCTAGATTTTATATGAAGGTATTCCCGTTTCCAACGAAATCGTTAGAGCTATCCAACTATCCACTTGCAGATTCTATAAAAAGAGTGTTTCCAACGTGCTGTATCAAAAGACAGGTTGTACACTGTTAGTTGAGGACACACATGACGAAGAAGTTTCTGAGAATGCCTCTGTCTAGATTTTACCTGAAGATATTCCGGTTTCCAATGAAATCCTTAAAGCTCTCCAAATATCCACTAGCAGATACTCCAAAAGAGTCTTTCAAAACTGCTCTGTGAATAGAAATGTTCAACTCTGTTAGTTGAAGACATACGTCACAAAGCAGTTTGTGAGAATGCTTCTGTCCAGTTTTTATGGGACGATCTGTCCTTTTTCACCATAAGCGTCCAAGCGCTCCAAGTGCCCACATCCAGATACTACAGAAAGTGTGTTTCAAACCTGCTCTATGAAAGGGAATGTTCAACTCTGTGACGTGAATGCAGATATCACAAAGCAGTTTCTGAGCATGTTACTGTCTAGGTTGTCTGTGAAGATACTCCCGTTTCCAACGAAATCCACAAAGCCATCCAAATATCCACTTGCAGATTCTACAAAAATCGTGTTTCCAAACTGCTCTGTCAAACGAAATGTTCAACTCCGTGAGTTGAGGACACACATCACAATCAAGTTTCTGCGAATGCTTCTGTCTAGTTTGCTTGGGAAGATATTTCCTTGTTCACCATGGGCCTGAAAGCGCTCGAAATGTCCACTTCCAGATACTGCAGAAAGAGGGTTTGAAACCTGCTCTCTGAAAGGGAACGTTCAACTCTGTGACTTAAACGCAAACATCACAAAGAAGCTTCTGAGAATGCTGCTGTCTACTTTGTATATGTAATCCCGTTTCCAACGTAACCCTCCAAGCTATCCAAATATCCTCCTGCAGATTCCACAAAAAGACGCTTTCAAGCCTGCCCTTAGAAAGGGAATATTCAACTCTCTGATATCAATGCAGATATCACAAAGTAGTTTCTGAGAGTGCTTCTGTCTAGGTTTTATGTGAAGATATTCCCGTTTCCAACGAAATAGTTAGGGCTATCCATGTATCAACTTGCAAATTCTATAAAAAGAGTGTTTCCCAACTGCCGTATCATAAGAAAGGTTGAACTCTGTTAGTTGAGGACACACATCACAAAGACGTTTCTGAGAATGCTTCTGTCTAGTTTTTATGTTAAGATATTTCCTTTTTCAACATAGGCCTGAAATCGATCGAAATGTCCACTTCCAGATACTACGGAAAGAGTGTTTCAAACCTGCTCTATTGAAGGGAATATTCAACTCTGTGACTTCAAAGCAAACATCACAAAGAATCTCCCGAGAATGCTGCTGTCTACTTTCTTTATGTATTCCCGTCTCCAACGAAATCCTCAGAGCTATCCGAACATCCATCTGCAGATTCCACATAAAGAGCTTTCCAAAACTGATCTATAAAGAGAAAGGTTCAACTCTGTTAGTTGAGTACATATATCCCAAAAATGTTTCTTAGAATGCTTCTGTCTAGTTTTGATGGGAAGACATTTCCTTTTTCACCAAAGGCGTCAAAGTGCTCCAAATGTCCACTTCCAGATACGACAAAAAGATTGTTTCAAACCTGCTTTAGGAAGGGAAATGGTCAACTCTGTGGCTTGAATGCAGATATCACAAAGCAGTTTCTCAGAGTGCCACTGTCTAGATTTTATATGAAGGTATTCCCGTTTCCAACGAAATCGTTAGAGCTATCCAACTATCCACTTGCAGATTCTATAAAAAGAGTGTTTCCAACGTGCTGTATCAAAAGACAGGTTGTACACTGTTAGTTGAGGACACACATGACGAAGAAGTTTCTGAGAATGCCTCTGTCTAGATTTTACCTGAAGTTATTCCTGTTTCCGGTGAAATCCTTAAAGCTCTCCACATATCCACTAGCAGATACTCCAAAAGAGTCTTTCAAAACTGCTCTGTGAATAGAAATGTTCAACTCTGTTAGCTGATGACATACGTCTCAAAGCAGTTTGTGAAAATGCTTCTGTCTAGTTTTTATGGGACGATATTTCCTTTTTCACCATAAGCGTCCAAGCGCTCCAAGTGCCCACATCCAGATACTACAGAAAGGGTGTTTCAAACCTGCTCTATGAAAGGGAATGTTCAACTCTGTGACGTGAATGCGGATATCACAAAGCCGTTTCTGAGAATGTTACTGTCTAGGTTGTCTATGAAGGATACTCCCGTTTCCAACGAAATCCACAAAGCCATCCAAATATCCACTTGCAGATTCTACAAAAATCGTGTTTCCAAACTGCTCTGTCAAACGAAATGTTCAACTCTGTGAGTTGAGGACACACATCACAAACAAGTTTCTGCGAATGCTTCTGTCTAGTTTGCATGGGAAGATATTTCCTTGTTCACCATAGGCCTGAAAGCGCTCGAAATGTCCACTTCCAGATACTGCAGAAAGAGGGTTTGAAACCTGCTCTATGAAAGGGAACGTTCAACTCTGTGACTTAAACGCAAACATCATAATGAAGCTTCTGAGAATGCTGCTGTCTACTTTGTATATGTAATCCCGTTTCCAACGTAACCCTCAAAGCTATCCAAATATCCTCCCGCAGATTCCACGAAAAGACGCTTTCAAGCCTGCCCTTAGAAAGGGAATATTCAACTCTCTGATATCAATGCAGATATCACAAAGTAGTTTCTGAGAGTGCTTCTGTCTAGGTTTTATATGAAGATATTCCCGTTTCCAACGAAATAGTTAGGGCTATCCATGTATCAACTTGCAAATTCTATAAAAAGAGTGTTTCCAAACTGCTGTATCATAAGAAAGGTTGAACTCTGTTAGTTGAGGACACACATCACAAAGACGTTTCTGAGAATGCTTCTGTCTAGTTTTGATGTTAAGGTATTTCCTTTTTCAACATAGTCCTGAAATCGATCGAAATGTCCACTTCCAGATACTACAGAAAGAGTGTTTCGAACCTGCTCTATTGAAGGGAATATTCAACTCTGTGACTTAAAAGCAAACATCACAAAGGATCTCCTGAGAATGCTGCTGTCTACTTTCTTTATGTATTCCCGTCTCCAACGAAATCCTCAGAACTATCCGAATATCCATCTGCAGATTCCACATAAAGAGTTTTCCAAAACTGATCTATAAAGAGAAATGTACAACTCTGTTAGTTGAGTACATATATCCCAAAAATGTTTCTTAGAATGCTTCTGTCTAGTTTTGATGGGAAGACATTTCCTTTTTCACCAAAGGCGTCAAAGTGCTCCAAATGTCCACTTCCAGATACGACAGAAAGAGTGTTTCAAACCTGCTTTAGGAAGGGAAATGTTCAACTCTGTGGCTTGAATGCAGATATCACAAAGCAGTTTCTGAGAGTGCCACTGTCTAGATTTTATATGAAGGTATTCCCGTTTCCAACGAAATCGTTAGAGCTATCCAAATATCCACTTGCAGATTCTATAAAAAGAGTGTTTCCAACGTGCTGTATCAAAAGATAGGTTGTACACTGTTAGTTGAGGACACACATTACAAAGAAGTTTCTGAGAATGCCTCTGTCTAGATTTTACCTGAAGATATTCCGGTTTCCAGTGAAATCCTTAAAGCTCTCCACATATCCACTAGCAGATACTCCAAAAGAGTCTTTCAAAACTGCTCTGTGAATAGAAATGCTCAACTCTGTTAGCTGACGACATACGTCACAAAGCAGTTTGTGAGAATGCTTCTGTCTAGGTTTTATAGGAAGATATTTCCTTTTTCACCATAAGCGTCCAAGCCCTCCAAGTGTCCACATCCAGATACTACAGAAAGAGTGTTTCAAACCTGCTCTATGAAAGGGAATGTTCAACTCTGTGAAGTGAATGCTGATATCACAAATCCGTTTCTGAGAATGTTTCTGTCTAGGTTTTCTATGAAGATACTCCCGTTTCCAACGAAATCCACAAAGCTATCCAAATATCCACTTGCAGATTCTACAAAAAGCGTGTTTTCAAACTGCTCTGTCAAACGAAATGTTCAACTCTGTCAGTTGAGGACACACATCGCAAACAAGTTTCTGCGAATGCTTCTGTCTAGTTTGCTTGGGAAGATATTTCCTTGTTCACCATAGGCCTGAAAGTGCTCGAAATGTCCACTTCCATATACTGCAGAAAGAGGGTTTGAAACCTGCTCTATGAAAGGGAACGTTCAACTCTGTGACTTAAACGGAAACATCACAAAGAAGCTTCTGAGAATGCTGCTGTCTGCTTTGTACATGTAATCCCGTTTCCAACGTAACCCTCAAAGCTATCCAAATATCCTCCTGCAGATTCCAGGAAAAGACGCTTTCAAGCCTGCCCTTAGAAAGGGAATATTCAACTCTCTGATATCAATGCAGATATCACAAAGTAGTTTCTGAGAGTGCTTCTGTCTAGGTTTTATGTGAAGATATTCCCGTTTCCAACAAAATAGTTAGGGCTATCCATGTATCAACTTGCAAATTCTATAAAAAGAGTGTTTCCCAACTGCTGTATCATAAGAAAGGTTGAACTCTGTTAGTTGAGGACACACATCACAAAGACGTTTCTGAGAATGCTTCTGTCTAGTTTTTATGTAGAGATATTTCCTTTTTCAACATAGGCCTGAAATCGATCGAAATGGCCACTTCCAGATACTACAGAAAGAGTGTTTCAAACCTGCTCTATTGAAGGGAATATTCAACTCTGTGACTTCAAAGCAAACATCACAAGGAATCTCCCGAGAATGCTGCTGTCTACTTTCTTTATGTATTCCCGTCTCCAACGAAATCCTCAGAGCTATACGAATATCCATCTGCAGATTCCACATAAAGAGCTTTCCAAAACTGATCTATAAAGAGAAAGGTTCAACTCTGTTAGTTGAGTACATATATCCCAAAAATGTTTCTTAGAATGCTTCTGTCTAGTTTTCATGGGAAGACATTTCCTTTTTCACCAAAGGCGTCAAAGTGCTCCAAATGTCCACTTCCAGATACGACAAAAAGAGTGTTTCAAACCTGCTTTAGGAAGGGAAATGTTCAACTCTGTGGCTTGAATGCAGATATCACAAAGCAGTTTCTGAGAGTGCCACTGTCTAGATTTTATATGAAGGTATTCCCGTTTCCAACGAAATCGTTAGAGCTATCCAACTATCCACTTGCAGATTCTATAAAAAGAGTGTTTCCAACGTGCTGTATCAAAAGATAGGTTGTACACTGTTAGTTGAGGACACACATTACGAAGAAGTTTCTGAGAATGCCTCTGTCTAGATTTTACCTGAAGATATTCCGGTTTCCAATGAAATCCTTAAAGCTCTCCAAATATCCACTAGCAGATACTCCAAAAGAGTCTTTCAAAACTGCTCTGTGAATAGAAATGTTCAACTCTGTTAGTTGAAGACATACGTCACAAAGCAGTTTGTGAGAATGCTTCTGTCTAGTTTTTATGGGACGATATTTCCTTTTTCACCATAAGCGTCCAAGCGCTCCAAGTGCCCACATCCAGATACTACAGAAAGTGTGTTTCAAACCTGCTCTATGAAAGGGAATGTTCAACTCTGTGACGTGAATGCGGATATCACAAAGCCGTTTCTGAGAATGTTACTGTCTAGGTTGTCTATGAAGATACTCCCGTTTCCAACGAAATCCACAAAGCCATCCAAATATCCACTTGCAGATTCTGCAAAAATCGTGTTTCCAAACTACTCTGTCAAACGAAATGTTCAACTCTGTGAGTTGAGGACACACATCACAATCAAGTTTCTGTGAATGCTTCTGTCTAGTTTGCATGGGAAGATATTTCCTTGTTCACCATAGGCCTGAAAGCGCTCGAAATGTCCACTTCCAGATACTGCAGAAAGAGGGTTTGAAACCTGCTCTATGAAAGGGAACGTTCAAATCTGTGACTTGAACGCAAACATCATAAAGAAGCTTCTGAGAATGCTGCTGTCTGCTTTGTACATGTAATCCCGTTTCCAACGTAACCCTCAAAGCTATCCAAATATCCTCCTGCAGATTCCACGAAAAGACGCTTTCAAGCCTGCCCTTAGAAAGGGAATATTCAACTCTCTGATATCAATGCAGATATCACAAAGTAGTTTCTGAGAGTGCTTCTGTCTAGGTTTTATGTGAAGATATTCCCGTTTCCAACGAAATAGTTAGGGCTATCCATGTATCAGCTTGCAAATTCTATAAAAAGAGTGTTTCCAAACTGCTGTATCATAAGAAAGGTTGAACTCTGTTAGTTGAGGACACACATCACAAAGACGTTTCTGAGAATGCTTCTGTCTAGTTTTTATGTTAAGATATTTCCTTTTTCAACATAGGCCTGAAATCGATCGAAATGGCCACTTCCAGATACTACAGAAAGAGTGTTTCAAACCTGCTCTATTGAAGGGAATATTCAACTCTGTGACTTCAAAGCAAACATCACAAAGAATCTCCCGAGAATGCTGCTGTCTACATTCTTTATGTATTCCCGTCTCCAACGAAATCCTCAGAGCTATCCGAATATCCATTTGCAGATTCCACATAAAGAGCTTTCCAAAACTGATCTATAAAGAGAAAGGTTCAACTCTGTTACTTGAGTACATATATCCCAAAAATGTTTCTTAGAATGCTTCTGTCTAGTTTTGATGGGAAGACATTTCCTTTTTCACCAAAGGCGTCAAAGTGCTCCAAATGTCCACTTCCAGATACGACAGAAAGAGTGTTTCAAACCTGCTTTAGGAAGGGAAATGTTCAACTCTGTGGCTTGAATGCAGATATCACAAAGCAGTTTCTGAGAGTGCCACTGTTTAGATTTTATATGAAGGTATTCCCGTTTCCAACGAAATCGTTAGAGCTATCCAAATATCCACTTGCAGATTCTATAAAAAGAGTGTTTCCAACGTGCTGTATCAAAAGATAGGTTGTACACTGTTAGTTGAGGACACACATTACGAAGAAGTTTCTGAGAATGCCTCTGTCTAGATTTTACCTGAAGACATTCCGGTTTCCACTGAAATCCTTAAAGCTCTCCAAATATCCACTAGCAGATACTCCAAAAGAGTCTTTCAAAACTGCTCTGTAAATAGAAATGTTCAGCTCTGTTAGTTGAAGACATACGTCACAAAGCAGTTTGTGAGAATGCTTCTGTCTAGTTTTTATGGGACGATATTTCCTTTTTCACCATAAGCGTCCAAGCGCTCCAAGTGTCCACATCCAGATACTACAGAAAGTGTGTTTCAAACGTGCTCTATGAAAGGGAATGTTCTACTCTGTGACGTGAATGCAGATATCACAAAGCAGTTTCTGAGAATGTTACTGTCTAGGTTTTCTATGAAGATACTCCCGTTTCCAACGAAATCCACAAAGCCATCCAAATATCCACTTGCAGATTCTACAAAAATCGTGTTTCCAAACTGCTCTGTCAAACGAAATGTTCAACTCTGTGAGTTGAGGACACACATCACAAACAAGTTTCTGCGAATGCTTCTGTCTAGTTTTTATGGGAAGATATTTCGTTTTTCAACATAGGCCTCAAAGCGCTCCAAATGTCCACTTCCGGATACTGCAGAAAGAGGGTTTGAAACCTGCTCTATGAAAGGGAACGTTCAACTCTGTGACTTGAACGCAAACATCATAAAGAAGCTTCTGAGAATGCTGCTGTCTGCTTTGTACATGTAATCCCGTTTCCAACGTAACCCTCAAAGCTATCCAAATATCCTCCTGCAGATTCCACGAAAAGACGCTTTCAAGCCTGCCCTTAGAAAGGGAATATTCAACTCTCTGATATCAATGCAGATATCAAAAAGTAGTTTCTGAGAGTGCTTCTGTCTAGGTTTTATGTGAAGATATTCCCGTTTCCAACGAAATAGTTAGGGCTATCCATGTATCAGCTTGCAAATTCTATAAAAAGAGTGTTTCCCAACTGCTGTATCATAAGAAAGGTTGAACTCTGTTAGTTGAGGACACACATCACAAAGACGTTTCTGAGAATGCTTCTGTCTAGTTTTTATGTTGAGATATTTCCTTTTTCAACATAGGCCTGAAATCGATCGAAATGTCCACTTCCAGATACTACTGAAAGAGTGTTTCAAACCTGCTCTATTGAAGGGAATATTCAACTCTGTGACTTCAAAGCAAACATCACAAAGAATCTCCCGAGAATGCTGCTGTCTACTTTCTTTATGTATTCCCGTCTCCAACGAAATCCTCAGAGCTATCCGAATATCCATCTGCAGATTCCACATAAAGAGCTTTCCAAAACTGATCTATAAAGAGAAAGGTTCAACTCTGTTAGTTCAGTACATATATCCCAAAAATGTTTCTTAGAATGCTTCTGTCTAGTTTTGATGGGAAGACATTTCCTTTTTCACCAAAGGCGTCAAAGTGCTCCAAATGTCCACTTCCAGATACGACAGAAAGAGTGTTTCAAACCTGCTTTAGGAAGGGAAATGTTCAACTCTGAGGCTTGAATGCAGATATCACAAAGCAGTTTCTGAGAGTGCCACTGTCTAGATTTTATATGAAGGTATTCCCGTTTCCAACGAAATCGTTAGAGCTATCCAAATATCCACTTGCAGATTCTATAAAAAGAGTGTTTCCAACGTGCTGTATCAAAAGATAGGTTGTACACTGTTAGTTGAGGACACACATTACAAAGAAGTTTCTGAGAATGCCTCTGTCTAGATTTTAACTGAAGATATTCCGGTTTCCAGTGAAATCCTTAAAGTTCTCCACATATCCACTAGCAGATACTCCAAAAGAGTCTTTCAAAACTGCTCTGTGAATAGAAATGCTCAACTCTGTTAGCTGACGACATACGTCACAAAGCAGTTTGTGAGAATGCTTCTGTCTAGTTTTTATGGGAAGATATTTCCTTTCTCACCGTAAGCGTCCAAGCGCTCCAAGTGTCCACATTCAGATACTATAGAAAGACTGTTTCAAACCTGCTCTATGAAAGGGAATGTTCAACTCTGTGACGTGAATGCAGATATCACAAAGCAGTTTCTGAGAATGTTACTGTCTAGGTTGTCTATGAAGATACTCCCGTTTCCAACGAAATCCACAAAGCCATCCAAATATCCACTTGCAGATTCTACAAAAATCGTGTTTCCAAACTGCTCTGTCAAACGAAATGTTCAACTCTGTGAGTTGAGGACACACATCACAAACAAGTTTCTGCGAATGCTTCTGTCTAGTTTGCATGGGAAGATATTTCCTTGTTCACCATAGGCCTGAAAGCGCTCGAAATGTCCACTTCCAGATACTGCAGAAAGAGGGTTTGAAACCTGCTCTATGAAAGGGAACGTTCAACTCTGTGACTTGAACGCAAACATCATAAAGAAGCTTCTGAGAATGCTGCTGTCTGCTTTGTACATGTAATCCCGTTTCCAACGTAACCCTCAAAGCTATCCAAATATCCTCCTGCAGATTCCACGAAAAGACGCTTTCAAGCCTGCCCTTAGAAAGGGAATATTCAACTCTCTGATATCAATGCAGATATCACAAAGTAGTTTCTCAGAGTGCTTCTGTCTAGGTTTTATGTGAAGATATTCCCGTTTCCAACGAAATAGTTAGGGCTATCCATGTATCAACTTGCAAATTCTATAAAAAGAGTGTTTCCCAACTGCTGTATCATAAGAAAGGTTGAACTCTGTTAGTTGAGGACACACATCACAAAGACGTTTCTGAGAATGCTTCTGTCTAGTTTTTATGTTAAGATATTTCCTTTTTCAACATAGGCCTGAAATCGATCGAAATGGCCACTTCCAGATACTACAGAAAGAGTGTTTCAAACCTGCTCTATTGAAGGGAATATTCAACTCTGTGACTGAAAAGCAAACATCACAAAGAATCTCCCGAGAATGCTGCTGTCTACTTTCTTTATGTATTCCCGTCTCCAACGAAATCCTCAGAGCTATCCGAATATCCATCTGCAGATTCCACATAAAGAGCTTTCCAAAACTGATCTATAAAGAGAAAGGTTCAACTCTGTTAGTTGAGTACATATATCCCAAAAATGTTTCTTAGAATGCTTCTGTCTAGTTTTGATGGGAAGACATTTCCTTTTTCACCAAAGGCGTCAAAGTGCTCCAAATGTCCACTTCCAGATACGACAGAAAGAGTGTTTCAAACCTGCTTTAGGAAGGGAAATGTTCAACTCTGTGGCTTGAATGCAGATATCACAAAGCAGTTTCTGAGAGTGCCACTGTCTAGATTTTATATGAAGGTATTCCCGTTTCCAACGAAATCGTTAGAGCTATCCAAATATCCACTTGCAGATTCTATAAAAAGAGTGTTTCCAACGTGCTGTATCAAAAGATAGGTTGTACACTGTTAGTTGAGGACACACATTACAAAGAAGTTTCTGAGAATGCCTCTGTCTAGATTTTACCTGAAGATATTCCGGTTTCCAGTGAAATCCTTAAAGCTCTCCACATATCCACTAGCAGATACTCCAAAAGAGTCTTTCAAAACTGCTCTGTGAATAGAAATTCTCAACTCTGTTAGCTGACGACATACGTCACAAAGCAGTTTGTGAGAATGCTTCTGTCTAGGTTTTATGGGACGATATTTCCTTTTTCACCATAAGCGTCCAAGAGCTCCAAGTGCCCACATCCAGATACTTCAGAAAGGGTGTTTCAAACCTGCTCTATGAAAGGGAATGTTCAACTCTGTGACGTGAATGCGGATATCACAAAGCCGTTTCTGAGAATGTTACTGTCTAGGTTTTCTATGAAGATACTCCCGTTTCCAACGAAATCCACAAAGCCATCCAAATATCCACTTGCAGATTCTACAAAAATCGTGTTTCCAAACTGCTCTGTCAAACGAAATGTTCAACTCTGTGAGTTGAGGACACACATCACAAACAAGTTTCTGCGAATGCTTCTGTCTAGTTTGCATGGGAAGATATTTCCTTGTTCACCATAGGCCTGAAAGCGCTCGAAATGTCCACTTCCAGATACTGCAGAAAGAGGGTTTGAAACCTGCTCTATGAAAGGGAACGTTCAACTCTGTGACTTAAACGCAAACATCATGACGAAGCTTCTGAGAATGCTGCTGTCTACTTTGTATATGTAATCCCGTTTCCAACGTAATCCTCAAAGCTATCCAAATATCCTCCTGCAGATTCCACGAAAAGACGCTTTCAAACCTGCCCTTAGAAAGGGAATATTCAACTCTCTGATATCAATGCAGATATCACAAAGTAGTTTCTGAGAGTGTTTCTGTCTAGGTTTTATATGAAGATATTCCCGTTTCCAACGAAATAGTTAGGGCTATCCATATATCAACATGCAAATTCTATAAAAAGAGTGTTTCCAAACTGCTGTATCATAAGAAAGGTTGAACTCTGTTAGTTGAGGACACACATCACAAAGACGTTTCTGAGAATGCTTCTGTCTAGTTTTTATGTTAAGATATTTCCTTTTTCAACATAGGCCTGAAATCGATCGAAATGGCCACTTCCAGATACTACAGAAAGAGTGTTTCAAGCCTGCTCTATTGAAGGGAATATTCAACTCTGTGACTTAAAAGCAAACATCACAAAGAATCTCCCGAGAATGCTGCTGTCTACTTTCTTTATGTATTCCCGTCTCCGACGAAATCCTCAGAGCTATCTGAATATCCATCTGCAGATCCCAAATAAAGAGCTTTCCAAAGCTGATCTATAAAGAGAAAGGTTCAACTCTGTTAGTTGAGTACATATATCCCAAAAATGTTTCTTAGAATGCTTCTGTCTAGTTTTCATGGGAAGACATTTCCTTTTTCACCAAAGGCGCCAAAGTGCTCCAAATGTCCACTTCCAGATACGACAAAAAGAGTGTTTCAAACCTGCTTTAGGAAGGGAAATGTTCAACTCAGTGGCTTGAATGCAGATATCACAAAGCAGTTTCTGAGAGTGCCACTGTCTAGATTTTATATGAAGGTATTCCCGTTTCCAAAGAAATCGTTAGAGCTATCCAACTATCCACTTGCAGATTCTATAAAAAGAGTGTTTCCAACGTGCTGTATCAAAAGATAGGTTGTACACTGTTAGTTGAGGACACACATTATGAAGAAGTTTCTGAGAATGCCTCTGTCTAGATTTTACCTGAAGATATTCCGGTTTCCAATGAAATCCTTAAAGCTCTCCAAATATCCACTAGCAGATACTCCAAAAGAGTCTTTCAAAACTGCTCTGTGAATAGAAATGTTCAACTCTGTTAGTTGAAGACATACGTCACAAAGCAGTTTGTGAGAATGCTTCTGTCCAGTTTTTATGGACGATATGTCCTTTTTCACCATAAGCGTCCAAGCGCTCCAAGTGCCCACATCCAGATACTACAGAAAGTGTGTTTCAAACCTGCTCTATGAAAGGGAATGTTCAACTCTGTGACGTAAATGCAGATATCACAAAACAGTTTCTGAGCATGTTACTGTCTAGGTTGTCTATGAAGATACTCCCGTTTCCAACGAAATCCACAAAGCCATCCAAATATCCACTTGCAGATTCTACAAACATCGTGTTTCCAAACTGCTCTGTCAAACGAAATGTTCAACTCCGTGAGTTGAGGACACACATCACAAACAAGTTTCTGCGAATGCTTCTGTCTAGTTTGCATGGGAAGATATTTCCTTGTTCACCATGGGCCTGAAAGCGCTCGAAATGTCCACTTCCAGATACTGCAGAAAGAGGGTTTGAAACCTGCTCTATGAAAGGGAACGTTCAACTCTGTGACTTAAACGCAAACATCACAAAGAAGCTTCTGAGAATGCTGCTGTCTACTTTGTATATGTAATCCCGTTTCCAACGTAACCCTCCAAGGTATCCAAATATCCTCCTGCAGATTCCACAAAAAGACGCTTTCAAGCCTGCCCTTAGAAAGGGAATATTCAACTCTCTGATATCAATGCAGATATCACAAAGTAGTTTCTGAGAGTGCTTCTGCCTAGGTTTTATATGAAGATATTCCCGTTTCCAACGAAATAGTTAGGGCTATCCATGTATCAACTTGCAAATTCTATAAAAAGAGTGTTTCCAAACTGCTGTATCATAAGAAAGGTTGAACTCTGTTAGTTGAGGACACACATCACAAAGACGTTTCTGAGAATGCTTCTGTCTAGTTTTGATGTTAAGGTATTTCCTTTTTCAACATAGGCCTGAAATCGATCAAAATGTCCACTTCCAGATACTACAGAAAGAGTGTTTCAAACCTGCTCTATTGAAGGGAATATTCAACTCTGTGACTTAAAAGCAAACATCACAAAGAATCTCCTGAGAATGCTGCTGTCTACTTTCTTTATGTATTCCCGTCTCCAACGAAATCCTCAGAGCTATCCGAATATCCATCTGCAGATTCCACATAAAGAGCTTTCCAAAACTGATATATAAAGAGAAAGGTTGAACTCTGTTAGTTGAGTACATATATCCCAAAAATGTTTCTTAGAATGCTTCTGTCTAGTTTTCATGGGAAGACATTTCCTTTTTCACCAAAGGCGTCAAAGTGCTCCAAATGTCCACTTCCAGATACGACAAAAAGAGTGTTTCAAACCTGCTTCAGGAAGGGAAATGTTCAACTCTGTGGCTTGAATGCAGATATCACAAAGCAGTTTCTGAGAGTGCCACTGTCTAGATTTTATATGAAGGTATTCCCGTTTCCAACGAAATCGTTAGAGCTATCCAACTATCCACTTGCAGATTCTATAAAAAGAGTGTTTCCAACGTGCTGTATCAAAAGATAGGTTGTACACTGTTAGTTGAGGACACACATTACGAAGAAGTTTCTGAGAATGCCTCTGTCTAGATTTTACCTGAAGATATTCCGGTTTCCAATGAAATCCTTAAAGCTCTCCAAATATCCACTAGCAGATACTCCAAAAGAGTCTTTCAAAACTGCTCTGTAAATAGAAATGTTCAACTCTGTTAGTTGAAGACATACGTCACAAAGCAGTTTGTGAGAATGCTTCTGTCCAGTTTTTATGGGACGATATGTCCTTTTTCACCATAAGCGTCCAAGCGCTCCAAGTGCCCACATCCAGATACTACAGAAAGTGTGTTTCAAACCTGCTCTATGAAAGGGAATGTTCAACTCTGTGACGTGAATGCAGATATCACAAAGCAGTTTCTGAGCATGTTACTGTCTAGGTTGTCTGTGAAGATACTCCCGTTTCCAACGAAATCCACAAAGCCATCCAAATATCCACTTGCAGATTCTACAAAAATCGTGTTTCCAAACTGCTCTGTGAAACGAAATGTTCAACTCCGTGAGTTGAGGACACACATCACAATCAAGTTTCTGCGAATGCTTCTGTCTAGTTTGCTTGGGAAGATATTTCCTTGTTCACCATGGGCCTGAAAGCGCTCGAAATGTCCACTTCCAGATACTGCAGAAAGAGGGTTTGAAACCTGCTCTATGAAAGGGAACGTTCAACTCTGTGACTTAAAAGCAAACATCACAAAGAAGCTTCTGAGAATGCTGCTGTCTACTTTGTATATGTAATCCCGTTTCCAACGTAACCCTCAAAGCTATCCAAATATCCTCCTGCAGATTCCACAAAAAGACGCTTTCAAGCCTGCCCTTAGAAAGGGAATATTCAACTCTCTGATATCAATGCAGATATCACAAAGTAGTTTCTGAGAGTGCTTCTGCCTAGGTTTTATATGAAGATATTCCCGTTTCCAACGAAATAGTTAGGGCTATCCATGTATCAACTTGCAAATTCTATAAAAAGAGTGTTTCCAAACTGCTGTATCATAAGAAAGGTTGAACTCTGTTAGTTGAGGACACACATCACAAAGACGTTTCTGAGAATGCTTCTGTCTAGTTTTTATGTTAAGGTATTTCCTTTTTCAACATAGGCCTGAAATCGATCGAAATGTCCACTTCCAGATACTACAGAAAGAGTGTTTCAAACCTGCTCTATTGAAGGGAATATTCAACTCTGTGACTTAAAAGCAAACATCACAAAGAATCTCCTGAGATTGCTGCTGTCTACTTTCTTTATGTATTCCCGTCTCCAACGAAATCCTCAGATCTATCCGAATATCCATCTGCAGATTCCACATAAAGAGCTTTCCAAAACTGATCTATACAGAGAAAGGTTCAACTCTGTTAGTTGAGTACATATATCCCAAAAATGTTTCTTAGAATGCTTCTGTCTAGTTTTCATGGGAAGACATTTCCTTTTTCACCAAAGGCGTCAAAGTGCTCCAAATGTCCACTTCCAGATACGACAAAAAGAGTGTTTCAAACCTGCTTTAGGAAGGGAAATGTTCAACTCTGTGGCTTGAATGCAGATATCACAAAGCAGTTTCTGAGAGTGCCACTGTCTAGATTTTATATGAAGGTATTCCCGTTTCCAACGAAATCTTTAGAGCTATCCAACTATCCACTTGCAGATTCTATAAAAAGAGTGTTTCCAACGTGCTGTATCAAAAGATAGGTTGTACACTGTTAGTTAAGGACACACATTACGAAGAAGTTTCTGAGAATGCCTCTGTCTAGATTTTACCTGAAGATATTCCGGTTTCCAATGAAATCCTTAAAGCTCTCCAAATATCCACTAGCAGATACTCCAAAAGAGTCTTTCAAAACTGCTCTGTAAATAGAAATGTTCAACTCTGTTAGTTGAAGACATACGTCACAAAGCAGTTTGTGAGAATGCTTCTTTCCAGTTTTTATGGGACGATATATCCTTTTTCACCATAAGCGTCCAAGCGCTCCAAGTGCCCACATCCAGATACTACAGAAAGTGTGTTTCAAACCTGCTCTATGAAAGGGAATGTTCAACTCTGTGACGTGAATGCAGATATCACAAAGCAGTTTCTGAGCATGTTACTGTCTAGGTTGTCTATGAAGATACTCCCGTTTCCAACGAAATCCACAAAGCTATCCAAATATCCACTTGCAGATTCTACAAAAATCGTGTTTCCAAACTGCTCTGTCAAACGAAATGTTCAACTCCGTGAGTTGAGGACACACATCACAAACAAGTTTCTGCGAATGCTTCTGTCTAGTTTGCATGGGAAGATATTTCCTTGTTCACCATGGGCCTGAAAGCGCTCGAAATGTCCACTTCCAGATACTGCAGAAAGAGGGTTTGAAACCTGCTCTATGAAAGGGAACGTTCAACTCTGTGACTTAAACGCAAACATCACAAAGAAGCTTCTGAGAATGCTGCTGTCTACTTTGTATATGTAATCCCGTTTCCAACGTAACCCTCAAAGCTATCCAAATATCCTCCTGCAGATTCCACAAAAAGACGCTTTCAAGCCTGCCCTTAGAAAGGGAATATTCAACTCTCTGATATCAATGCAGATATCACAAAGTAGTTTCTGAGAGTGCTTCTGCCTAGGTTTTATATGAAGATATTCCCGTTTCCAACGAAATAGTTAGGGCTATCCATGTATCAACTTGCAAATTCTATAAAAAGAGTGTTTCCAAACTGCTGTATCATAAGAAAGGTTGAACTCTGTTAGTTGAGGACACACATCACAAAGACGTTTCTGAGAATGCTTCTGTCTAGTTTTTATGTAGAGATATTTCCTTTTTCAACATAGGCCTGAAATCGATCGAAATGGCCACTTCCAGATACTACAGAAAGAGTGTTTCAAACCTGCTCTATTGAAGGGAATATTCAACTCTGTGACTTCAAAGCAAACATCACAAAGAATCTCCCGAGAATGCTGCTGTCTACTTTCTTTATGTATTCCCGTCTCCAACGAAATCCTCAGAGCTATCCGAATATCCATGTGCAGTTTCCACATAAAGAGCTTTCCAAAACTGATCTATAAAGAGAAAGGTTCAACTCTGTTAGTTGAGTACATATATCCCAAAAATGTTTCTTAGAATGCTTCTGTCTAGTTTTGATGGGAAGACATTTCCTTTTTCACGAAAGGCGTCAAAGTGCTCCAAATGTCCACTTCCAGATACGACAAAAAGAGTGTTTCAAACCTGCTTTAGGAAGGGAAATGTTCAACTCTGTGGCTTGAATGCAGATATCACAAAGCAGTTTCTGAGAGTGCCACTGTCTAGATTTTATATGAAGGTATTCCCGTTTCCAACGAAATCGTTAGAGCTATCCAAATATCCACTTGCAGATTCTATAAAAAGAGTGTTTCCAACGTGCTGTATCAAAAGATAGGTTGTACACTGTTAGTTGAGGACACACATTACGAAGAAGTTTCTGAGAATGCCTCTGTCTAGATTTTACCTGAAGACATTCCGGTTTCCACTGAAATCCTTAAAGCTCTCCAAATATCCACTAGCAGATACTCCAAAAGAGTCTTTCAAAACTGCTCTGTAAATAGAAATGTTCAGCTCTGTTAGTTGAAGACATACGTCACAAAGCAGTTTGTGAGAATGCTTCTGTCTAGTTTTTATGGGACGATATTTCCTTTTTCACCATAAGCGTCCAAGCGCTCCAAGTGTCCACATCCAGATACTACAGAAAGTGTGTTTCAAACGTGCTCTATGAAAGGGAATGTTCTACTCTGTGACGTGAATGCAGATATCACAAAGCAGTTTCTGAGAATGTTACTGTCTAGGTTTTCTATGAAGATACTCCCGTTTCCAACGAAATCCACAAAGCCATCCAAATATCCACTTGCAGATTCTACAAAAATCGTGTTTCCAAACTGCTCTGTCAAACGAAATGTTCAACTCTGTGAGTTGAGGACACACATCACAAACAAGTTTCTGCGAATGCTTCTGTCTAGTTTGCATGGGAAGATATTTCCTTGTTCACCATAGGCCTGAAAGCGCTCGAAATGTCCACTTCCAGATACTGCAGAAAGAGGGTTTGAAACCTGCTCTATGAAAGGGAACGTTCAACTCTGTGACTTAAACGCAAACATCATGACGAAGCTTCTGAGAATGCTGCTGTCTACTTTGTATATGTAATCCCGTTTCCAACGTAATCCTCAAAGCTATCCAAATATCCTCCTGCAGATTCCACGAAAAGACGCTTTCAAACCTGCCCTTAGAAAGGGAATATTCAACTCTCTGATATCAATGCAGATATCACAAAGTAGTTTCTGAGAGTGTTTCTGTCTAGGTTTTATATGAAGATATTCCCGTTTCCAACGAAATAGTTAGGGCTATCCATATATCAACATGCAAATTCTATAAAAAGAGTGTTTCCAAACTGCTGTATCATAAGAAAGGTTGAACTCTGTTAGTTGAGGACACACATCACAAAGACGTTTCTGAGAATGCTTCTGTCTAGTTTTTATGTAGAGATATTTCTTTTTCAACATAGGCCTGAAATCGATCGAAATGTCCACTTCCAGATACTACAGAAAGAGTGTTTCAAACCTGCTCTATTGAAGGGAATATTCAACTCTGTGACTTAAAAGCAAACATCACAAAGAATCTCCTGAGAATGCTGCTGTCTACTTTCTTTATGTATTCCCGTCTCCAACGAAATCCTCAGAGCTATCCGAATATCCATTTGCAGTTTCCACATAAAGAGCTTTCCAAAACTGATCTATAAAGAGAAAGGTTCAACTCTGTTAGTTGAGTACATATATCCCAAAAATGTTTCTTAGAATGCTTCTGTCTAGTTTTGATGGGAAGACATTTCCTTTTTCACCAAAGGCGTCAAAGTGCTCCAAATGTCCACTTCCAGATACGACAAAAAGAGTGTTTCAAACCTGCTTTAGGAAGGGAAATGTTCAACTCTGTGGCTTGAATGCAGATATCACAAAGCAGTTTCTGAGAGTGCCACTGTTTAGATTTTATATGAAGGTATTCCCGTTTCCAACGAAATCGTTAGAGCTATCCAAATATCCACTTGCAGATTCTATAAAAAGAGTGTTTCCAACGTGCTGTATCAAAAGATAGGTTGTACACTGTTAGTTGAGGACACACATTACGAAGAAGTTTCTGAGAATGCCTCTGTCTAGATTTTACCTGAAGATATTCCGGTTTCCAATGAAATCCTTAAACTCTCCAAATATCCACTAGCAGATACTCCAAAAGAGTCTTTCAAAACTGCTCTGTGAATAGAAATGTTCAACTCTGTTAGTTGAAGACATACGTCACAAAGCAGTTTGTGAGAATGCTTCTCTCCAGTTTTTATGGGACGATATGTCCTTTTTCACCATAAGCGTCCAAGCGCTCCAAGTGCCCACATCCAGATACTACAGAAAGTGTGTTTCAAACCTGCTCTATGAAAGGGAATGTTCAACTCTGTGACGTGAATGCAGATATCACAAAGCAGTTTCTGAGCATGTTACTGTCTAGGTTGTCTATGAAGATACTCCCGTTTCCAACGAAATCCACAAAGCCATCCAAATATCCACTTGCAGATTCTACAAAAATCGTGTTTCCAAACTGCTCTGTCAAACGAAATGTTCAACTCCGTGAGTTGAGGACACACATCACAAACAAGTTTCTGCGAATGCTTCTGTCTAGTTTGCATGGGAAGATATTTCCTTGTTCACCATGGGCCTGAAAGCGCTCGAAATGTCCACTTCCAGATACTGCAGAAAGAGGGTTTGAAACCTGCTCTATGAAAGGGAACGTTCAACTCTGTGACTTAAACGCAAACATCACAAAGAAGCTTCTGAGAATGCTGCTGTCTACTTTGTATATGTAATCTCGTTTCCAACGTAACCCTCAAAGCTATCCAAATATCCTCCTGCAGATTCCACGAAAAGACGCTTTCAAGCCTGCCCTTAGAAAGGGAATATTCAACTCTCTGATATCAATGCAGATATCACAAAGTAGTTTCTGAGAATGCTTCTGTCTAGGTTTTATATGAAGATATTCCCGTTTCCAACGAAATAGTTAGGGCTATCCATGTATCAACTTGCAAATTCTATAAAAACAGTGTTTCCAAACTGCTGTATCATAAGAAAGGTTGAACTCTGTTAGTTGAGGACACACATCACAAAGACGTTTCTGAGAATGCTTCTGTCTAGTTTTTATGTTAAGGTATTTCCTTTTTCAACATAGGCCTGAAATCGATCGAAATGTCCACTTCCAGATACTACAGAAAGAGTGTTTAAAACCTGCTCTATTGAAGGGAATATTCAACTCTGTGACTTAGAAGCAAACATCACAAAGAATCTCCTGAGAATGCTGCTGTCTACTTTCTTTATGTATTCCCGTCTCCAACGAAATCCTCAGAGCTATCCGAATATCCATCTGCAGAATCCACATAAAGAGCTTTCCAAAACTGATATATAAAGAGAAAGGTTGAACTCTGTTAGTTGAGTACATATATCCCAAAAATGTTTCTTAGAATGCTTCTGTCTAGTTTTCATGGGAAGACATTTCCTTTTTCACCAAAGGCGTCAAAGTGCTCCAAATGTCCACTTCCAGATACGACAAAAAGAGTGTTTCAAACCTGCTTCAGGAAGGGAAATGTTCAACTCTGTGGCTTGAATGCAGATATCACAAAGCAGTTTCTGAGAGTGCCACTGTCTAGATTTTATATGAAGGTATTCCCGTTTCCAACGAAATCTTTAGAGCTATCCAACTATCCACTTGCAGATTCTATAAAAAGAGTGTTTCCAACGTGCTGTATCAAAAGATAGGTTGTACACTGTTAGTTGAGGACACACATTACGAAGAAGTTTCTGAGAATGCCTCTGTCTAGATTTTACCTGAAGATATTCCGGTTTCCAATGAAATCCTTAAGGCTCTCCAAATATAAACTAGCAGATACTCCAAAAGAGTCTTTCAAAACTGCTCTGTGAATAGAAATGTTCAACTCTGTTAGTTGAAGACATACGTCACAAAGCAGTTTGTGAGAATGCTTCTGTCCAGTTTTTATGGGACGATATGTTCTTTTTCACCATAAGCGTCCAAGCGCTCCAAGTGCCCACATCCAGATACTACAGAAAGTGTGTTTCAAACCTGCTCTATGAAAGGGAATGTTCAACTCGGTGACGTGAATGCAGATATCACAAAGCAGTTTCTGAGCATGTTACTGTCTAGGTTGTCTATGAAGATACTCCCGTTTCCAACGAAATCCACAAAGCCATCCAAATATCCACTTGAAGATTCTACAAAAATCGTGTTTCCGAACTGCTCTGTCAAACGAAATGTTCAACTCCGTGAGTTGAGGACACACATCACAAACAAGTTTCTGCGAATGCTTCTGTCTAGTTTGCATGGGAAGATATTTCCTTGTTCACCATGGGCCTGAAAGCGCTCGAAATGTCCACTTCCAGATACTGCAGAAAGAGGGTTTGAAACCTGCTCTATGAAAGGGAACGTTCAACTCTGTGACTTAAACGCAAACATCACAAAGAAGCTTCTGAGAATGCTGCTGTCTACTTTGTATATGTAATCCCGTTTCCAACGTAACCCTCAAAGCTATCCAAATATCCTCCCGCAGATTCCACGAAAAGACGCTTTCAAGCCTGCCCTTAGAAAGGGAATATTCAACTCTCTGATATCAATGCAGATATCACAAAGTAGTTTCTGAGAGTGCTTCTGCCTAGGTTTTATATGAAGATATTCCCGTTTCCAACGAAATAGTTAGGGCTATCCATGTATCAACTTGCAAATTCTATAAAAAGAGTGTTTCCAAACTGCTGTATCATAAGAAAGGTTGAACTCTGTTAGTTGAGGACACACATCACAAAGACGTTTCTGAGAATGCTTCTGTCTAGTTTTTATGTTAAGGTATTTCCTTTTTCAACATAGGCCTGAAATCGATCGAAATGTCCACTTCCAGATACTACAGAAAGAGTGTTTCAAACCTGCTCTATTGAAGGGAATATTCAACTCTGTGACTTAGAAGCAAACATCACAAAGAATCTCCTGAGAATGCTGCTGTCTACTTTCTTTATGTATTCCCGTCTCCAACGAAATCCTCAGAGCTATCCGAATATCCATCTGCAGATTCCACATAAAGAGCTTTCCAAAACTGATCTATAAAGAGAAAGGTTCAACTCTGTTAGTTGAGTACATATATCCCAAAAATGTTTCTTAGAATGCTTCTGTCTAGTTTTGATGGGAAGACATTTCCTTTTTCACCAAAGGCGTCAAAGTGCTCCAAATGTCCACTTCCAGATACGACAGAAAGAGTGTTTCAAACCTGCTTTAGGAAGGGAAATGTTCAACTCTGTGGCTTGAATGCAGATATCACAAAGCAGTTTCTGAGAGTGCCACTGTCTAGATTTTATATGAAGGTATTCCCGTTTCCAACGAAATCGTTAGAGCTATCCAAATATCCACTTGCAGATTCTATAAAAAGAGTGTTTCCAACGTGCTGTATCAAAAGATAGGTTGTACACTGTTAGTTGAGGACACACATTACAAAGAAGTTTCTGAGAATGCCTCTGTCTAGATTTTACCTGAAGTTATTCCTGTTTCCGGTGAAATCCTTAAAGCTCTCCAAATATCCACTAGCAGATACTCCAAAAGAGTCTTTCAAAACTGCTCTGTGAATAGAAATGTTCAACTCTGTTAGCTGACGACATACGTCTCAAAGCAGTTTGTGAGAATGCTTCTGTCTAGTTTTTATGGGACGATATTTCCTTTTTCACCATAAGCGTCCAAGCGCTCCAAGTGCCCACATCCAGATACTACAGAAAGTGTGTTTCAAGCCTGCTCTATGAGAGGGAAAGTTCAACTCTGTGACGTGAATGCGGATATCACAAAGCAGTTTCTGAGAATGTTACTGTCTAGGTTTTCTATGAAGATACTCCCGTTTCCAATGAAATCCACAAAGCCATCCAAATATCCACTTGCAGATTCTACAAAAATCGTGTTTCCAAACTGCTCTGTCAAACGAAATGTTCAAATCTGTGAGTTGAGGACACACATCACAAACAAGTTTCTGCGAATGCTTCTGTCTAGTTTGCATGGGAAGATATTTCCTTGTTCACCATAGGCCTGAAAGCGCTCGAAATGTCCACTTCCAGATACTGCAGAAAGAGGGTTTGAAACCTGCTCTATGAAAGGGAACGTTCAACTCTGTGACTTGAACGCAAACATCATAAAGAAGCTTCTGAGAATGCTGCTGTCTGCTTTGTACATGTAATCCCGTTTCCAACGTAACCCTCAAAGCTATCCAAATATCCTCCTGCAGATTCCACGAAAAGACGCTTTCAAGCCTGCCCTTAGAAAGGGAATATTCAACTCTCTGATATCAATGCAGATATCACAAAGTAGTTTCTGAGAGTGCTTCTGTCTAGGTTTTATATGAAGATATTCCCGTTTCCAACGAAATAGTTAGGGCTATGCATGTATCAACTTGCAAATTCTATAAAAAGAGTGTTTCCAAACTGCTGTATCATAAGAAAGGTTGAACTCTGTTAGTTGAGGACACACATCACAAAGACGTTTCTGAGAATGCTTCTGTCTAGTTTTGATGTTAAGGTATTTCCTTTTTCAACATAGGCCTGAAATCGATCGAAATGTCCACTTCCAGATACTACAGAAAGAGTGTTTAAAACCTGCTCTATTGAAGGGAATATTCAACTCTGTGACTTAGAAGCAAACATCACAAAGAATCTCCTGAGAATGCTGCTGTCTACTTTCTTTATGTATTCCCGTCTCCAACGAAATCCTCAGAGCTATCCGAATATCCATCTGCAGATTCCACATAAAGAGCTTTCCAAAACTGATCTATAAAGAGAAAGGTTCAACTCTGTTAATTGAGTACATATATCCCAAAAATGTTTCTTAGAATGCTTCTGTCTAGTTTTCATGGGAAGACATTTCCTTTTTCACCAAAGGCGTCAAAGTGCTCCAAATGTCCACTTCCAGATACGACAGAAAGAGTGTTTCAAACCTGCTTTAGGAAGGGAAATGTTCAACTCTGTGGCTTGAATGCAGATATCACAAAGCAGTTTCTGAGAGTGCCACTGTCTAGCATTTTATATAAAGGTATTCCCGTTTCCAACGAAATCGTTAGAGCTATCCAACTATCCACTTGCAGATTCTATAAAAAGAGTGTTTCCAACGTGCTGTATCAAAAGATAGGTTGTACACTGTTAGTTGAGGACACACATTACGAAGAAGTTTCTGAGAATGCCTCTGTCTAGATTTTACCTGAAGATATTCCGGTTTCCAATGAAATCCTTAAACTCTCCAAGTATCCACTAGCAGATACTCCAAAAGAGTCTTTCAAAACTGCTCTGTGAATAGAAATGTTCAACTCTGTTAGTTGAAGACATACGTCACAAAGCAGTTTGTGAGAATGCTTCTGTCCAGTTTTTATGGGACGATATGTCCTTTTTCACCACAAGCGTCCAAACGCTCCAAGTGCCCACATCCAGATACTACAGAAAGTGTGTTTCAAACCTGCTCTATGAAAGGGAATGTTCAACACTGTGACGTGAATGCAGATATCACAAAACAGTTTCTGAGCATGTTACTGTCTAGGTTGTCTGTGAAGATACTCCCGTTTCCAACGAAATCCACAAAGCCATCCAAATATCCACTTGCAGATTCTACAAAAATCGTGTTTCCAAACTGCTCTGTCAAACGAAATGTTCAACTCCGTGAGTTGAGGACACACATCACAAACAAGTTTCTGCGAATGCTTCTGTCTAGTTTGCATGGGAAGATATTTCCTTGTTCACCATGGGCCTGAAAGCGCTCGAAATGTCCACTTCCAGATACTGCAGAAAGAGGGTTTGAAACCTGCTCTATGAAAGGGAACGTTCAACTCTGTGACTTAAACGCAAACATCACAAAGAAGCTTCTGAGAATGCTGCTGTCTACTTTGTATATGTAATCCCGTTTCCAACGTAACCCTCCAAGCTATCCAAATATCCTCCTGCAGATTCCACAAAAAGACGCTTTCAAGCCTGCCCTTAGAAAGGGAATATTCAACTCTCTGATATCAATGCAGATATCACAAAGTAGTTTCTGAGAGTGCTTCTGCCTAGGTTTTATATGAAGATATTCCCGTTTCCAACGAAATAGTTAGGGCTATCCATGTATCAACTTGCAAATTCTATAAAAAGAGTGTTTCCAAACTGCTGTATCATAAGAAAGGTTGAAATCTGTTAGTTGAGGACACACATCACAAAGACGTTTCTGAGAATGCTTCTGTCTAGTTTTGATGTTAAGGTATTTCCTTTTTCAACATAGGCCTGAAATCGATCGAAATGTCCACTTCCAGATACTACAGAAGGAGTGTTTCAAACCTGCTCTATTGAAGGGAATATTCAACTCTGTGACTTAAAAGCAAACATCACAAAGTATCTCCTGAGAATGCTGCTGTCTACTTTCTTTATGTATTCCCGTCTCCAACGAAATCCTCAGAGCTATCCGAATATCCATCTGCAGATTCCACATAAAGAGCTTTCCAAAACTGATCTATAAAGAGAAAGGTTCAACTCTGTTAGTTGAGTACATATATCCCAAAAATGTTTCTTAGAATGCTTCTGTCTAGTTTTCATGGGAAGACATTTTCTTTTTCACCAAAGGCGTCAAAGTGCTCCAAATGTCCACTTCCAGATACGACAAAAAGAGTGTTTCAAACCTGCTTTAGGAAGGGAAATGTTCAACTCTGTGGCTTGAATGCAGATATCACAAAGCAGTTTCTGAGAGTGCCACTGTCTAGATTTCATATGAAGGTATTCCCGTTTCCAACGAAATCGTTAGAGCTATCCAACTATCCACTTGCAGATTCTATAAAAAGAGTGTTTCCAACGTGCTGTATCAAAAGATAGGTTGTACACTGTTAGTTGAGGACACACATGACAAAGAAGTTTCTGAGAATGCCTCTGTCTAGATTTTACCTGAAGATATTCCGGTTTCCAATGAAATCCTTAAACTCTCCAAATATCCACTAGCAGATACTCCAAAAGAGTCTTTCAAAACTGCTCTGTGAATAGAAATGTTCAACTCTGTTAGTTGAAGACATACGTCACAAAGCAGTTTGTGAGAATGCTTCTGTCTAGTTTTTATGGGAAGATATTTCCTTTTTCACCGTAAGCGTCCAAGCGCTCCAAGTGTCCAGATCCAGATACTACAGAAAGAGTGTTTCAAACCTGCTCTATGAAAAGGAATGTTCAACTCTGTGACGTGAATGCAGATATCACAAAGCAGTTTCTGAGAATGATACTGTCTAGGTTGTCTATGAAGATACTCCCGTTTCCAACGAAATCCACAAAGCCATCCAAATATCCACTTGCAGATTCTACAAGAATCGTGTTTCCAAACTGCTCTGTCAAACGAAATGTTCAACTCTGTGAGTTGATGACACACATCACAAACAAGTTTCTACGAATGCTTCTGTCTAGTTTGCATGGGAAGATATTTCCTTGTTCACCATGGGCCTGAAAGCGCTCGAAATGTCCACTTCCAGATACTGCAGAAAGAGGGTTTGAAACCTGCTCTATGAAAGGGAACGTTCAACTCTGTGACTTAAACGCAAACATCACAAAGAAGCTTCTAAGAATGCTGCTGTCTACTTTGTATATGTAATCCCGTTTCCAACGTAACCCTCCAAGCTATCCAAATATCCTCCTGCAGATTCCACAAAAAGACGCTTTCAAGCCTGCCCTTAGAAAGGGAATATTCAACTCTCTGATATCAATGCAGATATCACAAAGTAGTTTCTGAGAGTGCTTCTGCCTAGGTTTTATATGAAGATATTCCCGTTTCCAACGAAATAGTTAGGGCTATCCATGTATCAACTTGCAAATTCTATAAAAAGAGTGTTTCCAAACTGCTGTATCATAAGAAAGGTTGAACTCTGTTAGTTGAGGACACACATCACAAAGACGTTTCTGAGAATGCTTCTGTCTAGTTTTTATGTTAAGATATTTCCTTTTTCAACATAGGCCTGAAATCGATCGAAATGTCCAATTCCAGATACTACGGAAAGAGTGTTTCAAACCTGCTCTATTGAAGGGAATATTCAACTCTGTGACTTCAAAGCAAACATCACAAAGAATCTCCTGAGAATGCTGCTGTCTACTTTCTTTATATATTCCCGTCTCCCACGAAATCCTCAGAGCTATCCGAATATCCATCTGCAGATTCCACATAAAGAGCTTTCCAAAACTGATCTATAAAGAGAAACGTTCAACTCTGTTAGTTGAGTACATATATCCCAAAAATGTTTCTTAGAATGCTTCTGTCTAGTTTTGATGGGAAGACATTTCCTTTTTCACCAAAGGCGTCAAAGTGCTCCAAATGTCCACTTCCAGATACGACAGAAAGAGTGTTTCAAACCTGCTTTAGGAAGGGAAATGTTCAACTCTGTGGCTTGAATGCAGATATCACAAAGCAGTTTCTGCGAGTGCCACTGTCTAGATTTTATATGAAGGTATTCCCGTTTCCAACGAAATCGTTAGAGCTATCCAAATATCCACTTGCAGATTCTATAAAAAGAGTGTTTCCAACGTGCTGTATCAAAAGATAGGTTGTACACTGTTAGTTGAGGACACACATTACAAAGAAGTTTCTGAGAATGCCTCTGTCTAGATTTTACCTGAAGATATTCCGGTTTCCAGTGAAATCCTTAAAGCTCTCCACATATCCACTAGCAGATACTCCAAAAGAGTCTTTCAAAACTGCTCTGTGAATAGAAATGCTCAACTCTGTTAGCTGACGACATACGTCACAAAGCAGTTTGTGAGAATGCTTCTGTCTAGGTTTTATGGGACGATATTTCCTTTTTCACCATAAGCGTCCAAGAGCTCCAAGTGCCCACATCCAGATACTACAGAAAGGGTGTTTCAAACCTGCTCTATGAAAGGGAATGTTCAACTCTGTGACGTGAATGCGGATATCACAAAGCCGTTTCTGAGAATGTTACTGTCTAGGTTTTCTATGAAGATACTCCCGTTTCCAACGAAATCCACAAAGCCATCCAAATATCCACTTGCAGATTCTACAAAAATCGTGTTTCCAAACTGCTCTGTCAAACCAAATGTTCAACTCTGTGAGTTGAGGACACACATCACAAACAAGTTTCTGCGAATGCTTCTGTCTAGTTTGCATGGGAAGATATTTCCTTGTTCACCATAGGCCTGAAAGCGCTCGAAATGTCCACTTCCAGATACTGCAGAAAGAGGGTTTGAAACCTGCTCTATGAAAGGGAACGTTCAACTCTGTGACTTGAACGCAAACATCATAAAGAAGCTTCTGAGAATGCTGCTGTCTGCTTTGTACATGTAATCCCGTTTCCAACGTAACCCTCAAAGCTATCCAAATATCCTCCTGCAGATTCCACGAAAAGACGCTTTCAAGCCTGCCCTTAGAAAGGGAATATTCAACTCTCTGATATCAATGCAGATATCACAAAGTAGTTTCTGAGAGTGCTTCTGTCTAGGTTTTATGTGAAGATATTCCCGTTTCCAACGAAATAGTTAGGGCTATCCATGTATCAACTTGCAAATTCTATAAAAAGAGTGTTTCCCAACTGCTGTATCATAAGAAAGGTTGAACTCTGTTAGTTGAGGACACACATCACAAAGACGTTTCTGAGAATGCTTCTGTCTAGTTTTTATGTTAAGATATTTCCTTTTTCAACATAGGCCTGAAATCGATCGAAATGGCCACTTCCAGATACTACAGAAAGAGTGTTTCAAACCTGCTCTATTGAAGGGAATATTCAACTCTGTGACTGAAAAGCAAACATCACAAAGAATCTCCGGAGAATGCTGCTGTCTACTTTCTTTATGTATTCCCGTCTCCAACGAAATCCTCAGAGCTATCCGAATATCCATCTGCAGATTCCACATAAAGAGCTTTCCAAAACTGATCTATAAAGTGAAAGGTTCAACTCTGTTAGTTGAGTACATATATCCCAAAAATGTTTCTTAGAATGCTTCTGTCTAGTTTTGATGGGAAGACATTTCCTTTTTCACCAAAGGCGTCAAAGTGCTCCAAATGTCCACTTCCAGATACGACAGAAAGAGTGTTTCAAACCTGCTTTAGGAAGGGAAATGTTCAACTCTGTGGCTTGAATGCAGATATCACAAAGCAGTTTCTGCGAGTGCCACTGTCTAGATTTTATATGAAGGGATTCCCGTTTCCAACGAAATCGTTAGAGCTATCAAAATATCCACTTGCAGATTCTATAAAAAGAGTGTTTCCAACGTGCTGTATCAAAAGATAGGTTGTACACTGTTAGTTGAGGACACACATTACAAAGAAGTTTCTGAGAATGCCTCTGTCTAGATTTTACCTGAAGATATTCCGGTTTCCAGTGAAATCCTTAAAGCTCTCCACATATCCACTAGCAGATACTCCAAAAGAGTCTTTCAAAACTGCTCTGTGAATAGAAATGCTCAACTCTGTTAGCTGACGACATACGTCACAAAGCAGTTTGTGAGAATGCTTCTGTCTAGGTTTTATGGGACGATATTTCCTTTTTCACCATAAGCGTCCAAGAGCTGCAAGTGCCCACATCCAGATACTTCAGAAAGGGTGTTTCAAACCTGCTCTATGAAAGGGAATGTTCAACTCTGTGACGTGAATGCGGATATCACAAAGCCGTTTCTGAGAATGTTACTGTCTAGGTTTTCTATGAAGATACTCCCGTTTCCAACGAAATCCACAAAGCCATCCAAATATCCACTTGCAGATTCTACAAAAATCGTGTTTCCAAACTGCTCTGTCAAACGAAATGTTCAACTCTGTGAGTTGAGGACACACATCACAAACAAGTTTCTGCGAATGCTTCTGTCTAGTTTGCATGGGAAGATATTTCCTTGTTCACCATAGGCCTGAAAGCGCTCGAAATGTCCACTTCCAGATACTGCAGAAAGAGGGTTTGAAACCTGCTCTATGAAAGGGAACGTTCAACTCTGTGACTTGAACGCAAACATCATAAAGAAGCTTCTGAGAATGCTGCTGTCTGCTTTGTACATGTAATCCCGTTTCCAACGTAACCCTCAAAGCTATCCAAATATCCTCCTGCAGATTCCAGGAAAAGACGCTTTCAAGCCTGCCCTTAGAAAGGGAATATTCAACTCTCTGATATCAATGCAGATATCACAAAGTAGTTTCTGAGAGTGCTTCTGTCTAGGTTTTATGTGAAGATATTCCCGTTTCCAACAAAATAGTTAGGGCTATCCATGTATCAACTTGCAAATTCTATAAAAAGAGTGTTTCCCAACTGCTGTATCATAAGAAAGGTTGAACTCTGTTAGTTGAGGACACACATCACAAAGACGTTTCTGAGAATGCTTCTGTCTAGTTTTTATGTTAAGATATTTCCTTTTTCAACATAGGCCTGAAATCGATCGAAATGGCCACTTCCAGATACTACAGAAAGAGTGTTTCAAACCTGCTCTATTGAAGGGAATATTCAACTCTGTGACTGAAAAGCAAACATCACAAAGAATCTCCCGAGAATGCTGCTGTCTATTTTCTTTATGTATTCCCGTCTCCAACGAAATCCTCAGAGCTATCCGAATATCCATCTGCAGATTCCACATAAAGAGCTTTCCAAAACTGATCTGTAAAGAGAAAG
The DNA here is from genome assembly GCF_000001405.40 of Homo sapiens. Classification (NCBI taxonomy): domain Eukaryota; kingdom Metazoa; phylum Chordata; class Mammalia; order Primates; family Hominidae; genus Homo; species Homo sapiens. The sequence continues at coordinate 15,476,945 of NC_000018.10, read as the reverse complement.
GTTCAACTCTGTTACTTGAGTACATATATCCCAAAAATGTTTCTTAGAATGCTTCTGTCTAGTTTTGATGGGAAGACATTTCCTTTTTCACCAAAGGCGTCAAAGTGCTCCAAATGTCCACTTCCAGATACGACAGAAAGAGTGTTTCAAACCTGCTTTAGGAAGGGAAATGTTCAACTCTGTGGCTTGAATGCAGATATCACAAAGCAGTTTCTGCGAGTGCCACTGTCTAGATTTTATATGAAGGTACTCCCATTTCCAACGAAATCGTTAGAGCTATCCAAATATCCACTTGCGGATTCTATAAAAAGAGTGTTTCCAACGTGCTGTATCAAAAGATAGGTTGTACACTGTTAGTTGAGGACACACATTACAAAGAAGTTTCTGAGAATGCCTCTGTCTAGATTTTACCTGAAGATATTCCGGTTTCCGGTGAAATCCTTAAAGCTCTCCAAATATCCACTAGCAGATACTCCAAAAGAGTCTTTCAAAACTGCTCTGTGAATAGAAATGTTCAACTCTGTTAGCTGACGACATACGTCTCAAAGCAGTTTGTGAGAATGCTTCTGTCTAGTTTTTATGGGACGATATTTCCTTTTTCACCATAAGCGTCCAAGCGCTCCAAGTGCCCACATCCAGATACTACAGAAAGGGTGTTTCAAACCTGCTCTATGAAAGGGAATGTTCAACTCTGTGACGTGAATTCGGATATCACAAAGCCGTTTCTGAGAATGTTACTGTCTAGGTTTTCTATGAAGATACTCCCGTTTCCAACGAAATCCACAAAGCCATCCAAATATCCACTTGCAGATTCTACAAAAATCGTGTTTCCAAACTGCTCTGTCAAACGAAATGTTCAACTCTGTGAGTTGAGGACACACATCACAAACAAGTTTCTGCGAATGCTTCTGTCTAGTTTGCATGGGAAGATATTTCCTTGTTCACCATGGGCCTGAAAGCGCTCGAAATGTCCACTTCCAGATACTGCAGAAAGAGGGTTTGAAACCTGCTCTATGAAAGGGAAGGTTCAACTCTGTGACTTAAAAGCAAACATCACAAAGAAGCTTCTGAGAATGCTGCTGTCTACTTTGTATATGTAATCCCGTTTCCAACGTAACCTTCCAAGCTATCCAAATATCCTCCTGCAGATTCCACAAAAAGACGCTTTCAAGCCTGCCCTTAGAAAGGGAATATTCAACTCTCTGATATCAATGCAGATATCACAAAGTAGTTTCTGAGAGTGCTTCTGCCTAGGTTTTATATGAAGATATTCCCGTTTCCAACGAAATAGTTAGGGCTATCCATGTATCAACTTGCAAATTCTATAAAAAGAGTGTTTCCAAACTGCTGTATCATAAGAAAGGTTGAACTCTGTTAGTTGAGGACACACATCACAAAGACGTTTCTGAGAATGCTTCTGTCTAGTTTTTATGTTAAGGTATTTCCTTTTTCAACATAGGCCTGAAATCCATCGAAATGTCCACTTCCAGATACTACAGAAAGAGTGTTTCAAACATGCTCTATTGAAGGGAATATTCAACTCTGTGACTTAAAAGCAAACATCACTAAGGATCTCCTGAGAATGCTGCTGTCTACTTTCTTTATGTATTCCCGTCTCCAACGAAATCCTCAGAGCTATCCGAATATCCATCTGCAGATTCCACATAAAGAGCTTTCCAAAACTGATCTATAAAGAGAAAGGTTCATCTCTCTTAGTTCAGTACGTATATCCCAAAAATGTTTCTTAGAATGCTTCTGTCTAGTTTTCATGGGAAGACATTTCCTTTTTCACCAAAGGCGTCAAAGTGCTCCAAATGTCCACTTCCAGATACGACAGAAAGAGTGTTTCAAACCTGCTTTAGGAAGGGAAATGTTCAACTCTGTGGCTTGAATGCAGATATCACAAAGCAGTTTCTGAGAGTGCCACTGTCTAGATTTTATATGAAGGTATTCCCGTTTCCAACGAAATCGTTAGAGCTATCCAACTATCCACTTGCAGATTCTATAAAAAGAGTGTTTCCAACGTGCTGTATCAAAAGATAGGTTGTACACTGTTAGTTGAGGACACACATTACGAAGAAGTTTCTGAGAATGCCTCTGTCTAGATTTTACCTGAAGATATTCCGGTTTCCAATGAAATCCTTAAAGTTCTCCAAGTATCCACTAGCAGATACTCCAAAAGAGTCTTTCAAAACTGCTCTGTGAATAGAAATGTTCAACTCTGTTAGTTGAAGACATACGTCACAAAGCAGTTTGTGAGAATGCTTCTGTCTAGTTTTTATGGGACGATATTTCCTTTTTCACCATAAGCGTCCAAGCGCTCCAAGTGCCCACATCCAGAAACTACAGAAAGGGTGTTTCAAACCTGCTCTATGAAAGGGAATGTTCAACTCTGTGACGTGAATGCGGATATCACAAAGCCGTTTCTGAGAATGTTACTGTCTAGGTTGTCTGTGAAGATACTCCCGTTTCCAACGAAATCCACAAAGCCACCCAAATATCCACTTGCAGATTCTACAAAAATCGTGTTTCCAAACTGCTCTGTCAAACGAAATGTTCAACTCCGTGAGTTGAGGACACACATCACAATCAAGTTTCTGCGAATGCTTCTGTCTAGTTTGCATGGGAAGATATTTCCTTGTTCACCATAGGCCTGACAGCGCTCGAAATGTCCACTTCCAGATACTGCAGAAAGAGGGTTTGAAACCTGCTCTATGAAAGGGAACGTTGAACTCTGTGACTTGAAAACAAACATCATAAAGCAGCTTCTGAGAATGCTGCTGTCTGCTTTGTACATGTAATCCCGTTTCCAACGTAACCCTCAAAGCTATCCAAATATCCTCCTGCAGATTCCACGAAAAGACGCTTTCAAGCCTGCCCTTAGAAGGGGAATATTCAACTCTCTGATATCAATGCAGATATCACAAAGTAGTTTCTGAGAGTGCTTCTGTCTAGGTTTTATGTGAAGATATTCCCGTTTCCAACGAAATAGTTAGGGCTATCCATGTATCAACTTGCAAATTCTATAAAAAGAGTGTTTCCCAACTGCCGTATCATAAGAAAGGTTGAACTCTGTTAGTTGAGGACACACATCACAAAGACGTTTCTGAGAATGCTTCTGTCTAGTTTTTATGTTAAGATATTTCCTTTTTCAACATAGGCCTGAAATCGATCGAAATGTCCACTTCCAGATACTACGGAAAGAGTGTTTCAAACCTGCTCTATTGAAGGGAATATTCAACTCTGTGACTTCAAAGCAAACATCACAAAGAATCTCCCGAGAATGCTGCTGTCTAGTTTCTTTATGTATTCCCGTCTCCAACGAAATCCTCAGAGCTATCCGAATATCCATCTGCAGATTCCACATAAAGAGCTTTCCAAAACTGATCTATAAAGAGAAAGGTTCAACTCTGTTAGTTGAGTACATATATCCCAAAAATGTTTCTTTGAATGCTTCTGTCTAGTTTTCATGGGAAGACATTTCCTTTTTCACAAAAGGCGTCAAAGTGCTCCAAATGTCCACTTCCAGATACGACGGAAAGAGTGTTTCAAACCTGCTTTAGGAAGGGAAATGTTCAACTCTGTGGCTTGAATGCAGATATCACAAAGCAGTTTCTGAGAGTGCCACTGTCTAGATTTTATATGAAGGTATTCCCGTTTCCAACGAAATCGTTAGAGCTATCCAAATATCCACTTGCAGATTCTATAAAAAGAGTGTTTCCAACGTGCTGTATCAAAAGATAGGTTGTACACTGTTAGTTGAGGACACACATTACAAAGAAGTTTCTGAGAATGCCTCTGTCTAGCTTTTACCTGAAGATATTCCGGTTTCCAGTGAAATCCTTAAAGCTCTCCACATATCCACTAGCAGATACTCCAAAAGAGTCTTTCAAAACTGCTCTGTGAATAGAAATGCTCAACTCTGTTAGCTGACGACATACGTCACAAAGCAGTTTGTGAGAATGCTTCTGTCTGGTTTTTATGGGACGATATGTCCTTTTTCACCATAAGCGTCCAAGCGCTCCAAGTGCCCACATCCAGATACTACAGAAAGTGTGTTTCAAACCTGCTCTATGAAAGGGAATGTTCAACTCTGTGACGTCAATGCAGATATCACAAAGCCGTTTCTGAGAATGTTACTGTCTAGGTTTTCTATGAAGATACTCCCGTTTCCAACGAAATCCACAAAGCCATCCAAATATCTACTTGCAGATTCTACAAAATCGTGTTTCCAAACTGCTCTGTCAAACGAAATGTTCAACTCTGTGAGTTGAGGACACACATCACAAACAAGTTTCTGCGAATGCTTCTGTCTAGTTTTCATGGGAAGATATTTCCTTGTTCACCATAGGCCTGAAAGCGCTCGAACTGTCCACTTCCAGATACTGCAGAAAGAGGGTTTGAAACCTGCTCTATGAAAGGGAACGTTCAACTCTGTGACTTGAACGCAAACATCATAAAGAAGCTTCTGAGAATGCTGCTGTCTACTTTGTATATGTAATCCCGTTTCCAACGTAATCCTCAAAGCTATCCAAATATCCTCCTGCAGATTCCACGAAAAGACGCTTTCAAACCTGCCCTTTGAAAGGGAATATTCAACTCTCTGATATCAATGCAGATATCACAAAGTAGTTTCTGAGAGTCCTTCTGTCTAGGTTTTATGTGAAGATATTCCCGTTTCCAACGAAATAGTTAGGGCTATCCATGTATCAGCTTGCAAATTCTATAAAAAGAGTGTTTCCCAACTGCTGTATCATAAGAAAGGTTGAACTCTGTTAGTTGAGGACACACATCACAAAGACGTTTCTGAGAATGCTTCTGTCTAGTTTTTATGTAGAGATATTTCCTTTTTCAACATAGGCCTGAAATCGATCGAAATGGCCACTTCCAGATACTACAGAAAGAGTGTTTCAAACCTGCTCTATTGAAGGGAATATTCAACTCTGTGACTTCAAAGCAAACATCACAAAGAATCTCCCGAGAATGCTGCTGTCTACTTTCTTTATGTATTCCCGTCTCCAACGAAATCCTCAGAGCTATCCGAATATCCATCTGCAGATTCCACATAAAGAGCTTTCCAAAACTGATCTATAAAGAGAAAGGTTCAACTCTGTTAGTTCAGTACATATATCCCAAAAATGTTTCTTAGAATGCTTCTGTCTAGTTTTGATGGGAAGACATTTCCTTTTTCACCAAAGGCGTCAAAGTGCTCCAAATGTCCACTTCCAGATACGACAGAAAGAGTGTTTCAAACCTGCTTTAGGAAGGGAAATGTTCAACTCTGTGGCTTGAATGCAGATATCACAAAGCAGTTTCTGAGAGTGCCACTGTCTAGATTTTATATGAAGGTATTCCCGTTTCCAACGAAATCGTTAGAGCTATCCAAATATCCACTTGCAGATTCTATAAAAAGAGTGTTTCCAACGTGCTGTATCAAAAGATAGGTTGTACACTGTTAGTTGAGGACACACATTACAAAGAAGTTTCTGAGAATGCCTCTGTCTAGATTTTACCTGAAGATATTCCGGTTTCCAGTGAAATCCTTAAAGCTCTCCACATATCCACTAGCAGATACTCCAAAAGAGTCTTTCAAAACTGCTCTGTGAATAGAAATGCTCAACTCTGTTAGCTGACGACATACGTCACAAAGCAGTTTGTGAGAATGCTTCTGTTTAGTTTTTATGGGACGATATTTCCTTTTTAACCATAAGCGTCCAAGCGCTCCAAGTGCCCACATCCAGATACTACAGAAAGTGTGTTTCAAACCTGCTCTATGAAAGGGAATGTTCAACTCTGTGATGTGAATGCGGATATCACAAAGCCGTTTCTGAGAATGTTACTGTCTAGGTTTTCTATGAAGATACTCCCGTTTCCAACGAAATCCACAAAGCCATCCAAATATCCACTTGCAGATTCTACAAAAATCGTGTTTCCAAACTGCTCTGTCAAACGAAATGTTCAACTCTGTGAGTTGAGGACACACATCACAAACAAGTTTCTGGGAATGCTTCTGTCTAGTTTGCATGGGAAGATATTTCCTTGTTCACCATAGGCCTGAAAGCGCTCGAAATGTCCACTTCCAGATACTGCAGAAAGAGGGTTTGAAACCTGCTCTATGAAAGGGAACGTTCAACTCTGTGACTTGAACGCAAACATCATAAAGAAGCTTCTGAGAATGCTGCTGTCTGCTTTGTACATGTAATCCCGTTTCCAACGTAACCCTCAAAGCTATCCAAATATCCTCCTGCAGATTCCATGAAAAGACGCTTTCAAGCCTGCCCTTAGAAAGGGAATATTCAACTCTCTGATATCAATGCAGATTTCACAAAGTAGTTTCTGAGAGTGCTTCTGTCTAGGTTTTATGTAAAGATATTCCCGTTTCCAACGAAACAGTTAGGGCTATCCATGTATCAACTTGCAAATTCTATAAAAAGAGTGTTTCCAAACTGCTGTATCATAAGAAACGTTGAACTCTGTTAGTTGAGGACACACATCACAAAGACGTTTCTGAGAATGCTTCTGTCTAGTTTTTATGTTAAGATATTTCCTTTTTCAACATAGGCCTGAAATCGATCGAAATGTCCACTTCCAGATACTACAGAAAGAGTGTTTCAAACCTGCTCTATTGAAGGGAATATTCAACTCTGTGACTTCAAAGCAAACATCACAAAGAATCTCCCGAGAATGCTGCTGTCTACTTTCTTTATGTATTCCCGTCTCCAACGAAATCCTCAGAGCTATCCGAATATCCATCTGCAGATTCCACATAAAGAGCTTTCCAAAACTGATCTATAAAGAGAAAGGTTCAACTCTGTTAGTTGAGTACATATATCCCAAAAATGTTTCTTAGAATGCTTTCTGTCTAGTTTTGATGGGAAGACATTTCCTTTTTCACCAAAGGCGTCAAAGTGCTCCAAATGTCCACTTCCAGATACGACAGAAAGAGTGTTTCAAACCTGCTTTAGGAAGGGAAATGTTCAACTCTGTGGCTTGAATGCAGATATCACAAAGCAGTTTCTGAGAGTGCCACTGTCTAAATTTTATATGAAGGTATTCCCGTTTCCAACGAAATCGTTAGAGCTATCCAACTATCCACTTGCAGATTCTATAAAAAGAGTGTTTCCAACGTGCTGTATCAAAAGATAGGTTGTACACTGTTAGTTGAGGACACACATTACGAAGAAGTTTCTGAGAATGCCTCTGTCTAGATTTTACCTGAAGATATTCCGGTTTCCAATGAAATCCTTAAAGCTCTCCAAATATCCACTAGCAGATACTCCAAAAGAGTCTTTCAAAACTGCTCTGTGAATAGAAATGTTCAACTCTGTTAGTTGAAGACATACGTCACAAAGCAGTTTGTGAGAATGCTTCTGTCCAGTTTTTATGGGACGATATGTCCTTTTTCACCATAAGCGTCCAAGCGCTCCAAGTGCCCACATCCAGATACTACAGAAAGTGTGTTTCAAACCTGCTCTATGAAAGGGAATGTTCAACTCTGTGACGTGAATGCAGATATCACAAAACAGTTTCTGAGCATGTTACTGTCTAGGTTGTCTATGAAGATACTCCCGTTTCCAACGAAATCCACAAAGCCATCCAAATATCCACTTGCAGATTCTACAAAAATCGTGTTTCCAAACTGCTCTGTCAAACGAAATGTTCAACTCCGTGAGTTGAGGACACACATCACAAACAAGTTTCTGCGAATGCTTCTGTCTAGTTTGCATGGGAAGATATTTCCTTGTTCACCATGGGCCTGAAAGCGCTCGAAATGTCCACTTCCAGATACTGCAGAAAGAGGGTTTGAAACCTGCTCTACGAAAGGGAACGTTCAACTCTGTGACTTAAACGCAAACATCACAAAGAAGCTTCTGAGAATGCTGCTGTCTACTTTGTATATGTAATCCCGTTTCCAACGTAACCCTCCAAGCTATCCAAATATCCTCCTGCAGATTCCACAAAAAGACGCTTTCAAGCCTGCCCTTAGAAAGGGAATATTCAACTCTCTGATATCAATGCAGATATCACAAAGTAGTTTCTGAGAGTGCTTCTGCCTAGGTTTTATATGAAGATATTCCCGTTTCCAACGAAATAGTTAGGGCTATCCATGTATCAACTTGCAAATTCTATAAAAAGAGTGTTTCCAAACTGCTGTATCATAAGAAAGGTTGAAATCTGTTAGTTGAGGACACACATCACAAAGACATTTCTGAGAATGCTTCTGTCTAGTTTTTATGTTAAGGTATTTCCTTTTTCAACATAGGCCTGAAATCGATCGAAATGTCCACTTCCAGATACTACAGAAAGAGTGTTTCAAACCTGCTCTATTGAAGGGAATATTCAACTCTGTGACTTAAAAGCAAACATCACAAAGAGTCTCCTGAGATTGCTGCTGTCTACTTTCTTAATGTATTCCCGTCTCCAACGAAATCCTCAGAGCTATCCGAATATCCATCTGCAGATTCCACATAAAGAGCTTTCCAAAACTGATCTATAAAGAGAAAGGTTCAACTCTGTTAGTTGAGTACATATATCCCAAAAATGTTTCTTAGAATGCTTCTGTCTAGTTTTGATGGGAAGACATTTCCTTTTTCACCAAAGGCGTCAAAGTGCTCCAAATGTCCACTTCCAGATACGACAAAAAGAGTGTTTCAAACCTGCTTTTGGAAGGGAAATGTTCAACTCTGTGGCTTGAATGTAGATATCACAAAGCAGTTTCTGAGAGTGCCACTGTCTAGATTTTATATGAAGGTATTCAAGTTTCCAACGAAATCGTTAGAGCTATCCAACTATCCACTTGCAGATTCTATAAAAAGAGTGTTTCCAACGTGCTGTATCAAAAGATAGGTTGTACACTGTTAGTTGAGGACACACATTACGAAGAAGTTTCTGAGAATGCCTCTGTCTAGATTTTACCTGAAGATATTCCGGTTTCCAATGAAATCCTTAAAGCTCTCCAAATATCCACTAGCAGATACTCCAAAAGAGTCTTTCAAAACTGCTCTGTGAATAGAAATGTTCAACTCTGTTAGTTGAAGACATACGTCACAAAGCAGTTTGTGAGAATGCTTCTGTCTAGTTTTTATGGGACGATATTTCCTTTTTCACCATAAGCGTCCAAGCGCTCCAAGTGCCCACATCCAGATACTACAGAATGTGTGTTTCAAGCCTGCTCTATGAGAGGGAATGTTCAACTCTGTGACGTGAATGCGGATATCACAAAGCCGTTTCTGAGAATGTTACTGTCTAGGTTGTCTATGAAGATACTCCCGTTTCCAACGAAATCCACAAAGCCATCCAAATATCCACTTGAAGATTCTACAAAAATCGTGTTTCCGAACTGCTCTGTCAAACGAAATATTCAACTCCGTGAATTGAGGACACACATCAGAAACAAGTTTCTGCGAATGCTTCTGTCTAGTTTGCATGGGAAGATATTTCCTTGTTCACCATGGGCCTGAAAGCGCTCGAAATGTCCACTTCCAGATACTGCAGAAAGAGGGTTTGAAACCTGCTCTATGAAAGGGAACGTTCAACTCTGTGACTTAAACGCAAACATCATAAAGAAGCTTCTGAGAATGCTGCTGTCTACTTTGTATATGTAATCCCGTTTCCAACGTAACCCCCAAAGCTATCCAAATATCCTCCCGCAGATTCCACGAAAAGACGCTTTCAAGCCTTCCCTTAGAAAGGGAATATTCAACTCTCTGATATCAATGCAGATATCACAAAGTAGTTTCTGAGAGTGCTTCTGTCTAGGTTTTATATGAAGATATTCCCGTTTCCAACGAAATAGTTAGGGCTATCCATATATCAACATGCAAATTCTATAAAAAGAGTGTTTCCAAACTGCTGTATCATAAGAAAGGTTGAACTCTGTTAGTTGAGGACACACATCACAAAGACGTTTCTGAGAATGCTTTCTGTCTAGTTTTTACTTGAAGATATTTCCTTTCTCACCATAGGCCTGAAAGCGCTTGAAACGTCAGCTTGCAGATACTACAGAAAGAGTGTTTCAAACCTGCTCTATGAAAGGGAATGTTCAGTCCTGTGACTTGAAGGCAAACATCACAAAGAAGTTCCTGAGAATGCTGCTGTCTACTTTCTTTATGTAGTCCCGTCTCCAACGAAATCCTCAGAGCTATCCGAATATCCATCTGCAGATTCCACATAAAGAGCTTTCCAAAACTGATCTATAAAGAGAAAGGTTCAACTCTGTTAGTTGAGTACATATATCCCAAAAATGTTTCTTAGAATGCTTCTGTCTAGTTTTCATGGGAAGACATTTCCTTTTTCACCAAAGGCGTCAAAGTGCTCCAAATGTCCACTTCCAGATACGACAGAAAGAGTGTTTCAAACCTGCTTTAGGAAGGGAAATGTTCAACTCTGTGGCTTGAATGCAGATATCACAAAGCAGTTTCTGAGAGTGCCACTGTCTAGATTTTATATGAAGGTATTCCCGTTTCCAACGAAATCGTTAGAGCTATCCAAATATCCACTTGCAGATTCTATAAAAAGAGTGTTTCCAACGTGCTGTATCAAAAGATAGGTTGTACACTGTTAGTTGAGGACACACATTACAAAGAAGTTTCTGAGAATGCCTCTGTCTAGATTTTACCTGAAGATATTCCGGTTTCCAATGAAATCCTTAAAGCTCTCCAAATATCCACTAGCAGACACTCCAAAAGAGTCTTTCAAAACGGCTCTGTGAATAGAAATGTTCAACTCTGTTAGTTGAAGACATACGTCACAAAGCAGTTTGTGAGAATGATTCTGTCTAGTTTTTATGGGACGATATTTCCTTTTTCACCATAAGCGTCCAAGCACTCCAAGTGCCCACATCCAGATACTACAGAAAGTGTGTTTCAAGCCTGCTCTATGAGAGGGAAAGTTCAACTCTGTGACGTGAATGCGGATATTACAAAGCCGTTTCTGAGAATGTTACTGTCTAGGTTTTCTATGAAGATACTCCCGTTTCCAACGAAATCCACAAAGCCATCCAAATATCCACTTGCAGATTCTACAAAAATCGTGTTTCCAAACTGCTCTGTCAAATGAAATGTTCAACTCTGTGAGTTGAGGACACACATCACAAACAAGTTTCTGCGAATGCTTCTGTCTAGTTTGCTTGGGAAGATATTTCCTTGTTCACCATAGGCCTGAAAGTGCTCGAAATGTCCAATTCCAGATACTGCAGAAAGAGGGTTTGAAACCTGCTCTATGAAAGGGAACGTTCAACTCTGTGACTTAAACGGAAACATCACAAAGAAGCTTCTGAGAATGCTGCTGTCTGCTTTGTACATGTAATCCCGTTTCCAACGTAACCCTCAAAGCTATCCAATATCCTCCTGCAGATTCCACGAAAAGACGCTTTCAAGCCTGCCCTTAGAAAGGGAATATTCAACTCTCTGATATCAATGCAGATATCACAAAGTAGTTTCTGAGAGTGCTTCTGTCTAGGTTTTATGTGAAGATATTCCCGTTTCCAACGAAATAGTTAGGGCTATCCATGTAGCAACTTGCAAATTCTATAAAAAGAGTGTTTCCCAACTGCTGTATCATAAGAAAGGTTGAACTCTGTTAGTTGAGGACACACATCACAAAGACATTTCTGAGAATGCTTCTGTCTAGTTTTTATGTTAAGATATTTCCTTTTTCAACATAGGCCTGAAATCGATCGAAATGTCCACTTCCAGATACTACGGAAAGAGTGTTTCAAACCTGCTCTATTGAAGGGAATATTCAACTCTGTGACTTCAAAGCAAACATCACAAAGAATCTCCCGAGAATGCTGCTGTCTACTTTCTTTATGTATTCCCGTCTCCAGCGAAATCCTCAGATCTATCCGAATATCCACTTGCAGATTCCACATAAAGATCTTTCCAAAACTGATCTATAAAGAGGAAGGTTCAACTCTGTTAGTTGAGTACATATATCCCAAAAATGTTTCTTAGAATGCTTCTGTCTAGTTTTGAGGGGAAGACATTTCATTTTTCACCAAAGGCGTCAAAGTGCTCCAAATGTCCACTTCCAGATACGACAAAACGAGTGTTTCAAACCTGCTTTAGGAAGGGAAATGTTCAACTCTGTGGCTTGAATGCAGATATCACAAAGCAGTTTCTGAGAGTGAAACTGTCTAGATTTTATATGAAGGTATTCCCGTTTCCAACGAAATCGTTAGAGCTATCCAAATATCCACTTGCAGATTCTATAAAAAGAGTGTTTCCAACGTGCTGTATCAAAAGATAGGTTGTACACTGTTAGTTGAGGACACACATTACAAAGAAGTTTCTGAGAATGCCTCTGTCTAGATTTTACCTGAAGATATTCCGGTTTCCAGTGAAATCCTTAAAGCTCTCCACATATCCACTAGCAGATACTCCAAAAGAGTCTTTCAAAACTGCTCTGTGAATAGAAATGCTCAACTCTGTTAGCTGACGACATACGTCACAAAGCAGTTTGTGAGAATGCTTCTGTCTAGGTTTTATGGGACGATATTTCCTTTTTCACCATAAGCGTCCAAGAGCTCCAAGTGCCCACATCCAGATACTACAGAAAGGGTGTTTCAAACCTGCTCTATGAAAGGGAATGTTCAACTCTGTGACGTGAATGCGGATATCACAAAGCCGTTTCTGAGAATGTTACTGTCTAGGTTGTCTGTGAAGATACTCCCGTTTCCAACGAAATCCACAAAGCCATCCAAATATCCACTTGCAGATTCTACAAAAATCGTGTTTCCAAACTGCTCTGTCAAACGAAATGTTCAACTCTGTGAGTTGAGGACACACATCACAAAGAAGTTTCTGCGAATGCTTCTGTCTAGTTTGCATGGGAAGATATTTCCTTGTTCACCATAGGCCTGAAAGCGCTCGAAATGTCCACTTCCAGATACTGCAGAAAGAGGGTGTGAAACCTGCTCTATGAAAGGGAACGTTCAACTCTGTGACTTGAACGCAAACATCATAAAGAAGCTTCTGAGAATGCTGCTGTCTGCTTTGTACATGTAATCCCGTTTCCAACGTAACCCTCAAAGCTATCCAAATATCCTCCTGCAGATTCCACGAAAAGACGCTTTCAAGCCTGCCCTTAGAAAGGGAATATTCAACTCTGTGATATCAATGCAGATATCACAAAGTAGTTTCTGAGAGTGCTTCTGTCTAGGTTTTATGTGAAGATATTCCCGTTTCCAACGAAATAGTTAGGGCTATCCATGTATCAGCTTGCAAATTCTATAAAAAGAGTGTTTCCCAACTGCTGTATCATAAGAAAGGTTGAACTCTGTTAGTTGAGGACACACATCACAAAGACGTTTCTGAGAATGCTTCTGTCTAGTTTTTATGTAGAGATATTTCCTTTTTCAACATAGGCCTGAAATCGATCGAAATGGCCACTTCCAGATACTACAGAAAGAGTGTTTCAAACCTGCTCTATTGAAGGGAATATTCAACTCTGTGACTTCAAAGCAAACATCACAAAGAATCTCCCGAGAATGCTGCTGTCTACTATCTTTATGTATTCCCGTCTCCAACGAAATCCTCAGAGCTATCCGAATATCCATTTGCAGATTCCACATAAAGAGCTTTCCAAAACTGATCTATAAAGAGAAAGGTTCAACTCTGTTAGTTGAGTACATATATCCCAGAAATGTTTCATAGAATGCTTCTGTCTAGTTTTGATGGGAAGACATTTCCTTTTTCACCAAAGGCGTCAAAGTGCTCCAAATGTCCACTTCCAGATACGACAAAAAGAGTGTTTCAAACCTGCTTTAGGAAGGGAAATGTTCAACTCTGTGGCTTGAATGCAGATATCACAAAGCAGTTTCTGAGAGTGCCACTGTCTAGATTTTATATGAAGGTATTCCCGTTTCCAACGAAATCGTTAGAGCTATCCAACTATCCACTTGCAGATTCTATAAAAAGAGTGTTTCCAACGTGCTGTATCAAAAGACAGGTTGTACACTGTTAGTTGAGGACACACATGACGAAGAAGTTTCTGAGAATGCCTCTGTCTAGATTTTACCTGAAGATATTCCGGTTTCCAATGAAATCCTTAAAGCTCTCCAAATATCCACTAGCAGATACTCCAAAAGAGTCTTTCAAAACTGCTCTGTGAATAGAAATGTTCAACTCTGTTAGTTGAAGACATACGTCACAAAGCAGTTTGTGAGAATGCTTCTGTCCAGTTTTTATGGGACGATCTGTCCTTTTTCACCATAAGCGTCCAAGCGCTCCAAGTGCCCACATCCAGATACTACAGAAAGTGTGTTTCAAACCTGCTCTATGAAAGGGAATGTTCAACTCTGTGACGTGAATGCAGATATCACAAAGCAGTTTCTGAGCATGTTACTGTCTAGGTTGTCTATGAAGATACTCCCGTTTCCAACGAAATCCACAAAGCCATCCAAATATCCACTTGCAGATTCTACAAAAATCGTGTTTCCAAACTGCTCTGTCAAACGAAATGTTCAACTCCGTGAGTTGAGGACACACATCACAAACAAGTTTCTGCGAATGCTTCTGTCTTGTTTTTATGGGAAGATATTTCCTTTTTCACCATAGGCCTGAAAGCGCTCGAAATGTCCACTTCCAGATACTGCCGAAAGAGGGTTTGAAACCTGCTCTATGAAAGGGAATGTTGAACTCTGTGACTTAAAAGCAAACATCACAAAGAAGCTTCTGAGAATGCTGCTGTCTACTTTGTATATGTAATCCCGTTTCCAACGAAGTCCTGAAAGCTATCCAAATATCCTCCTGCAGATTCCACAGAAAGACGGTTTCAAACCTGCTCTTAGGAAGGGAATATTCACCTCTGTGATATGAATGCAGATATCACAAAGTAGTTTCTGACAGTGCTTCTGTCTAGGTTTTATGTGAAGATATTCCCGTTTCCAACGAAATAGTTAGGGCTATCCATGTATCAGCTTGCAAATTCTATAAAAAGAGTGTTTCCAAACTGCTGTATCATAAGAAAGGTTGAACTCTGTTAGTTGAGGAGACACATCACAAAGACGTTTCTGAGAATGCTTCTGTCTAGTTTTGATGTTAAGGTATTTCCTTTTTCAACATAGGCCTGAAATCGATCGAAATGTCCACTTCCAGATACTACAGAAAGAGTGTTTCAAACCTGCTCTATTGAAGGGAATATTCAACTCTGTGACTTAAAAGCAAACATCACAAAGAATCTCCTGAGAATGCTGCTGTCTACTTTCTTTATGTATTCCCATCTCCAACGAAATCCTCAGAGCTATCCGAATATCCATCTGCAGATTCCACATAAAGAGCTTTCCAAAACTGATCTATAAAGAGAAAGGTTCAACTCTGTTAGTTGAGTACATATATCCCAAAAATGTTTCTTAGAATGCTTCTGTCTAGTTTTCATGGGAAGACATTTCCTTTTTCACCAAAGGCGTCAAAGTGCTCCAAATGTCCACTTCCAGATACGACAGAAAGAGTGTTTCAAACCTGCTTTAGGAAGGGAAATGTTCAACTCTGTGGCTTGAATGCAGATATCACAAAGCAGTTTCTGAGAGTGCCACTGTCTAGATTTTATATGAAGGTATTGCCATTTCCAACGAAATCGTTAGAGCTATCCAACTATCCACTTGCAGATTCTATAAAAAGAGTGTTTCCAACGTGCTGTATCAAAAGATAGGTTGTACACTGTTAGTTGAGGACACACATTACGAAGAAGTTTACTGAGAATGCCTCTGTCTAAATTTTACCTGAAGATATTCCGGTTTCCAATGAAATCCTTAAAGCTCTCCAAATATCCACTAGCAGATACTCCAAAAGAGTCTTTCAAAACTGCTCTGTAAATAGAAATGTTCAACTCTGTTAGTTGAAGACATACGTCACAAAGCAGTTTGTGAGAATGCTTCTGTCCAGTTTTTATGGGACGATATGTTCTTTTTCACCATAAGCGTCCAAGCGCTCCAAGTGCCCACATCCAGATACTACAGAAAGTGTGTTTCAAACCTGCTCTATGAAAGGGAATGTTCAACTCTGTGACGTGAATGCAGATATCACAAAGCAGTTTCTGAGCATGTT